>NC_000011.10:36120606-36272121 GCF_000001405.40 Homo sapiens
GGCATTAGTTAATTTGCCCTGGGTCACTCAGCTAGTAGGTGAAGGGGCCAGGTTTGAACCCAGCAGCCCACCTCCAGATGCCAGTCTACACCTCCAGAAGTGAGACTAAACTGCCTGCTGTGGGTCTGAATGTTTGTGTCTCCCGCAAATTCTATATGCTGAAATTCTAACCCCCAGTATGATTGTATTAGGAGATGAGGCCCTTGGGAGGTGATTAGGTCATAAGGGCAGAGCCCTCATCGATGCCCTTAGAAAAGGGGTACAAGGGAGCACATTCTGTCTTTCCATTGTGCAAGGACACAGTGAGAAGACACTGTCTGTGAACCAGGAAATGGGCCCTCACCAGACCCTAATTCTACCAGGACTTTGATCTTAGACTTCCCAGCCTCCAGAACCAGGAGGAATAAATGTTTGTTGTTCACCTGGTCCATGGTATTTTGTTAGAGCAGCCCCAACTAAGCCACCGCCTCTCTAGTTCACTATTCTGTCCCCGGTATCCAGGGCATCATAGACACTCAATAACCATTCGTTGAATATGCAATTGGATGAAATGAATAAACGACCAGAGGAGTAATCCAGACAGAGCAGCAGTGGCCAAGGGAAGGGAGGATTGATTTATGGGAGAAAATTAGGGGAATGAAATCCATAGAAAGGGTTTGCCTAAGTGAGAGTGATGACTGGAGCCAGAAGACACCCGGGGGAGAGGAATTGTTTCACATGGTAGGAAAAGGGGAGGAGGGAGAGAGGTGGGGTGGTGGAGTGCAGCCTCGAGGCTGGAATATAAATGAAGAGCCACAGAGCTGATATTTCAGCCTGTGGAACAGTCTGAGGAAAGTATGGAAATGCCATCATGTAAGCACGTACACCCAGGGCATTCTACCCTGTCCTGTAAAACAGCAAGGGCCCACTTTGTCCACCACCACAATGGCGATGGCTCCTGGGAAGGGTGCGCCATGAGTATCAAATTATTATGGTTCGGGAAAATAATTGCTGGTTGTGGAATTCTGGAGAAGTAGTATCGCAAAAGAGAGACATGCACAGAAGTGTTCAGGCAGGGAGAGCTGGTTTGTATAAATAAGAGCTTGATGAGCTATCTGTTATGATTTATGCTAGGAATCCATAGCCTCTGTGCTTCTCACACAGTACATAAACCCAAAAGGTCGCCTCTAGTTTGGAGTGGTGATGCTGTGCCAGTGTGGGAGCAGGCAAGGCCGTGAGGCCTTCTTCCTCACAAATCCAGCACCTCCCACCTGCCATCGGGTAAAGAGAGGGAGGGCACTGCAATGGCTGGTGTTACTGAGCCCTCGCGGCATGCCAGGCACTGCTCATTCGTGTTTTACACCATTTCGGAATCCTTTGAGGAAGTTATTTCTATTATCACAATCCCCATTTTACAGGAGGGGAAAGTGAGGTTAAGGGAGACAATGGGATAGGCATGAGGTCATCCAGTAAATGGCAGAGCCAGGATTCGAACCCACACTCTTGTGACCTCAGAGCCCAAGCTCTTAACTATGCCTTCCACAGACACAATCCATGCACCTTAGGATTTTTACCTGAGGTTCTTAGTTTGGTTTGGGGGACCAAAGGAACAAGTAAACAAGCAGAAAATGATGAGGAAGGGCTGTGCTGTGTGCCCAAGCGAGGAAGCAAAAGGATGGGCATGAACAATTTGTAGATGCCATCCAGAACAGAGTGGTCAAGGATTTGGAGGCTCAGTGCAGGGGGAGAAGTGGGAAGGGCTTGTGCTGTACACATGAGGGTTAGGAACTGATGAAGCCACCTCCCCAAGCCTCAGATTTTCCATCTGAAAAATGGAAACAGGATTCATCTCCTTAATTGTGACTATCAAGTGTAATAACGTTGGTAAAGAGCTTAGCACAGGCTTGGCACATGGTAGGACTCCATAAATAGACACTGCAATTATTCGTTCTGTGGTTACTGCATGACGATGATGATAACAATAATAATTACTATTATTATTAAGCAGGAACTGTTTTAGGTGCTGGGAAACCAAAAGGAAAAAACTCCATCCCCAGCCCCTAGGAGCCTGTAGTCTAGTGAAGGAGATAAACTTGTGAACAGATAATTCCTATCTAACTGCTTGCTTCCTTTTCTATGCACTCATGGTACTGCCTGGTGTGATGGTTCATGCCTGTAATCCCAGCACTTTGGGAGGGCATGGCAGAAGGATTGCTTAAGCCCAGGAGTTCAATACCAACCTGGGCAACATAACGAGATCCTATCTCAATTTTTAAATAAATAAATAAAATAAAATTTCATACAAGGCTAGGAAAGTGACTCATGCCTGTAATAAATACCAGCACTTTGGGAAGCTGAGGTGGGAGGATTGTTTGAGCTAAGGAGTTTGAGACCAGCCTGGGCCACGCAGTGAGACCTTGTCTCTACAACAACAACAACAAAAATTTAAAAATCAGCCAGACATGATGGCACATGCCTGTAGTCCCGACTGCTTGGGAGGTTGAGGTGGGAGGATCACTTGAGCCCAGGAGGTCAAGGCTGCAATGAACTATGATGGCACCACTGCATTCCAGCCTGGGCGACAGAGCGAGACTCCGTCTCAAAATAATAATAATAATAATAATAATAAAAGTGTGGTACATAATAAGTATTCAGCAGATACTTTCAAATGAGTAACCATCAGTGCTTATTTTTAAATGTAATATGATGTGTGCAACACAAGAGTTGAACCCAGCCTAGAGCTCAGCTAATCGTAGCTCACCAAGCTTAGCTCCATTCTACAAGCTGGTGCAGGTTTGCCCTACCTGCTTTTCTTTCTCCTGGGAGCAATGTGCTGCCCCACAGCATGGTTTTCTCCTGGCAGTATTAGAAGTACAAAATCGCAAGCCCAGCTCTATAAGCATATTTTAAGCATCTGCTCATTTGTCCCATTGACCCCAAGGTAAGTCACATGACCAAGCCCAAGATCAGTGGGGCAGATAAATATATTCTATCTCCAGCCAGAGAGGCTGCAAGGTGGCATGGCCAAGTGCACGGGTGTGGAAAGGGTGAAGAATTGGAAACAGTTATGCCTCTTTCACAGTGAAGTTTGGAGGGGGAGTAGGCCCTAGCCACAAATGTCTGCCCCTTGGCCTGGCAGATGTCCTGTTTTCCAGGAGTCCAGCCAGGCTGTGGCACAGTGCCGACCCCCTGACTCTTGTCCGAGGGTCTGTGCCAACCACCCGGACTCCTAAAGTCCGGCTGTGGCTGTAGAGTTGAATATTGGCTGAAGCCAGGCTGCCTTTTATTGAGTCTGCCTCCGCCTCATTATTTACATAGACTGTAAAATAAAGCTTAACTCAAAATTACCGTAAGTCAGCGCATCCGAGTGAAGCCGGCAGCTGGACCTTCACAACTGAAAGCAGACTAAATAAAAGGGGGAGGATGAAAAAAGAAGAGCTGCAAATAAGATGTCAGGGAATGCTTAATTATATAAAGGTTATGCATTTGCCTGCATAATTGTCCAAAGCAACTGATGGCAACAGCTGGCAGAGAAGCTGGTCTTCAGCTCTATTTGTGTTTATCTGGTGCCTGTCACCGTAATAGCTACAAGAAGTATTGATCACAAATTAATTTGGCCTCATTCCTTCTCCTTTTTGTCTCTACCCTTATCAGTCTCACTTCCCCTACTAAAATAGGAAGGCTATTGAATACATGGAGAAAACTTGGAGTTTGTGGAGGCTGAGGCTACCAAGTATCATGGAAGCAATATACTATATGCCAGGCACTAGCATAGGTAGCATTTGTAACTGACTTTTTTAATAAAACAACCCTATAAGGTAGGTATTCTTATTCCTGTTTTACATATAAGGGTAGTGAGACCCAGAGAGATGAACTCATTTGACAAAAGTCACACAGCTTGGGGTAGCCTGGTGATTCCCTTAACCACGGCTCTCCCAACTGGGCTCTGCAAGGTGGGTATTTTGGGAGTTTTTTCACTGCACCTGGAGTGAAATCTGAACCCTTTACCACAGACTACATACCCTGTATGTTCTAACTGGTCTTCAAGCACATCTTCTCCTGGTATCCTCCACCTTGTCCGGCACGCTAGTCTCCTTTTCCTTTCTTTTTTTTTTTTTTTCTTGGAGACAGAGTCTCACTCTGTCGCCCAGGCTGGAGTGCAGTGGCATGATCTTGGCTCACTGCAACCTCTGCCACCTGGGTTCAAGCAATTCTCATGCCTCAGACTCCCGAGTAGCTGGGATTACAGGCTTGTGCCACCATGCCCAGCTAATTTTGGTATTTTTAGTAGAGACGGGGTTTCGCCATGTTGGTCAGGCTGGTCTTGATCTCCTGGCCTCAAGTGATCTGCCTGCCTTGACCTCCTCATTTCCATTTCTTAGACATGCCAAGCTCTTTCCTGTTTAAGGGTCTTTGCAGGTGCTGTTACCTCTGCCTAGAACTGTGTTCCTGCAAGGTCACCCGTTCTACCTTAGCTGTTTCCCTCCTCACCCTTAGTATTATTGTTCACAGTGTCCAGAGTGTTTGTTCCAGGGCAGTTATCATACTTATCAGTTGTGCCTTTATGATTGTGGGTCTGCACTCTGATCTGTGCATTCCATGTAAGCAGGGATCATACTTGTTTCATTCACTTATGTGTACCTAGATCCTGGTACACAGAGGCAGTAGAGTGCATTAGAGCATGGTCTCTGAAAGCAACTTCCCGGGTTCAAATTCCAGCTCTGCCACTTATTGTCGACTATGTGACTTTTAGGCGGATGACTTTCTCTTTCTGTCCTCGTTTTCTCTGCCTGTAAAATAGGAATAATGATATTGTTGTGTAGAATGAATTAAGACATAAAAATGCTTTGTACAGTGCCTAATACGCAGCAAGCAGTACATGTTTCACTGCTGTTAGTCATCATGATTAAAATCATTAGCACATAGTAGATAGTCAATGTTTGTTGAATGGATGAATGAATTTCTAATCGCAGAAGGGTAAACAGGCCTCAGCTGGTCGATGGGGTGAGTTTGTAAGCTCAGTGTGAGACTGCTCCATCTGAGATGACACGGTGATCAAAGGGTTGTTCTTTAAGGTGTGCTGATCTCCACTACTCGGCACCCAACTGCCCAAACAGTGCTGTAAGGTGAACAGATTTGGGAGACCACTTTTTGTGATTCCGTAAGTTATTTTGGTGGAGGTGGACAGAGTTTTGGTGGTGGAGAATGGTGTCTTCTTGCTCCTGCAGTGCACAAGATGTTTTCAAGCCACATGGAGGGTGTGGCTGGTAGGCTCTATGGTCCTGTTCCGTCCCCTCCCATAACCCCCTCAACCTGATCTGCTGCAAAAGGCTACCCCCCTTGGAAGGCAGCTGATAGAGAAGCTGTAGGCTTATGCTGGGACCCCACCAGGGACAAATGAGGCCGATTTGGAGACACTGTGGAACCAGGAAGTCAGTCTGCACATTGTGATCTGCGCCTGCGATGCTCCTCCCCACCCTTCACGTACAGTGCTGTTTGGAGGGCTCAGTCCTGCTTTCTGCTCTCCTCTTGCCTTTGGTTCTCCTTTGGCAGGATCCCGCAGGAAGCGTTAGAACCCCACCACTGCTCCCGATGCCTTGCTTCTGTCTGCTGCTGGTCCCCGCTGCCTGCACTGCCCGCCCCCTCATCACCTATCTCTGCTGGCCTCTCAAGGGCACTGCATTGTCCTTCAGTTCCTGGGCGTGAATCTGCTCATCAGGCACCATTTACCTTCTCCAGCCCTGTGCCCTGTTCCTAAATCAAGGCTTACACCCACCAAGAGCAGGGTTTCTTTTATCCCACTGTAATCACTCCTAATGTAATCAATATGCTCAGATCTCTTATTGGAGAGAGTAAGTTATCACCAAGACCCCTGCCAGCCCCATTTCAGCCAATTCCAGCATGCAGGGAAGAGGTTGAGGATTGGCCTTCGGTGTGGTCAGGGTCGGGAGGCTGGTCCCCAGAAGAAGCCAGTTGTTGGCTGTGCCTTTGGGGCAGCGGAGTCTGGAGCCCGGATCATCCATCAGGGCTATCAGCCTTGTTTGGGTTTTTCAGTGGAAGCTCATTCACGTATGCAATAATGGGATGCTGGGTGGTCTAAGTTGCCTTTTGATTTTTAGTCTCCGGGAACTCCAGTGTTCCTGGTGTTATTTGGTATGTCTGTGGCTTTAATTTCCTTTTTAATTTCTGTTGAAAGGAAGAAAGAACTCTGTGGAGTTATAATCTGCAGAGAACCTATGTTGTAAGACCAGTGGGTGTCCTGAATGGCTAAGTAATTAGAACATGCATAATCACCCAGAGTTAAACCCACTGCCGAGCAAGTGCATCCTGTGAACTCGACTGTGTAAACAAAATTGTGCAGAATCAGCCCAAAAGGAAAATTCAACAAATGTGAGCAGTGGTCATCCCTGGTGGTGGATTGTAGAGAATTTAATGTCTGGTTTTGCCCATTTTTCAGTTTTTTACACTGAGCACATTACTGTTGTGTTTTGAAAGAAAGACACGCATTAAAAAATAACCAACACCTGTATTCTTGTCAACACTTGATCTTGCAATCTTAATATAGAAGACTGCAAAAAAATGACTGTTAGAAGCTAAAGATACAGGTTTAAGGAATGTCTTTACTTTATTGTTTATATAATGAAATATTAATATAATAAAACTACAGATTTGCATATGGAATTGGGGTTAAACAGAGGTTTGAAGGATTATCAATTATGAATAGTTTATGGTGAAAGTTACACAATAAAACAGTACTGAGAGGAAGGTGTTTTTCACTTATATATTTGAATTTATATAGTACATGCTGTTTAATCCTGGCTGGTTCCTTAAATCTCACTTTGTCTCAGTTTCACCATCTGTAAAATTGGGGTACTAGCCTGTTAGGTTATTTTTAGGAAGATGTGATTAATATTTGTGAAATTCTTAGAACAGGATTGGAACATAGTAGGTACTCAAGAAATGCTTGATGCTGCTGGGTTAGTCTTATTGTTGTGATACAGAGGCTTTGACAACAGTTTTTGCTCCTACATCAGAAGTAACAGTAGGTAAAGCTATAATGTTAGTTAACCTGAGTAGACTTCTTACCATGTCTGAGCCACCATGCTAAGTTTTTTATTTAGGTTATGTCATTTGCTCCTCAAATCTGCTTCATATCAGTTTAGGATGTAAGGGCTCAGAGAGGTTAAGTGACCTGCCCAAGATCACACAGCTTGTAAGAATTTGATTCCAAAGCTCATGCTCTGAATCACTGTTTTATTACCTAGTATTGTATTTTTTGTTCTTCTGCAGGTACCCAAAATATGCACTTGCCTTTACTTTCCCTGGGTCAAAGGTCCACCAGTTGAGGTGTTTTAATGCCCTTCCAAAGATATATGTTGGGAATTTCTCCAGCTGTTTCCCCAAAGCAGCCTCCTCCTGGTGGATGTACACCGAGGAGGCAGGAGCTACCCCACACTCACTGATCTGAGGCATCAGGTGGCCGGGAGGTTCATAACTCAACTGTTGCGTATTGATGGCAGAGTTGTTTTTACATATATATATATATATATGTATATGACATGTAGGCAATTAAACTTAGAATGGGAACTGAAAGATGAAGAATTAATTCCCTGTTTGTTTGTAATACTGTGTGTAGGCAAACAATTAATCAGCATCTGTATAAATACCCTCCCCATAGGGGTCTGGCCCAGGGACAGGGAGCTCCTCTGCCTCCTGCTAGCTGGAGAATATTGGTCCATCTCACGCATTTAACCGCAATTTCTTCTGCCCAGCCTTGTGCTGGATGCTTCAACAAGTGAAGCTTACCAAACCACCATGCACAGATGCTCCCCCTGGGACTCGTGGGTAGAGATGCCAGAGGGTGCCATCATAAAGGACTGTAGAAGCCCGTGCACCTGGGAAATTGGACTTTATCTCGAGAGCAGTGGGGAGCCCAAAGGGCAGAACTACAATCCAGTTTTTAATCAGAAAAACCACTCTAGGCTGGGCACGGTGATTCATGCCTGTAATCCCAACACTTTGGGAGGCTGAAGTGGGTAGATTGCCTGAGGTCGGGACTTCAAGACCAGCTTGGGCAACATGGTGAAACCCCATCTCTACTAAAAATACAAAAATTAGCCTGGTGTGGTGATAGGCACCTGTAGTCTCAGCTACTCAGGTGGCTGAGTCAGGAGAATCGCTTGAACCCAGGAGGCTGAGGTTGCAGTGAGTGGAGATCACATTACTGCACTCCAGCCTGGGTAAGAGAGTGAGACTGTGTCTCAAGGAAAAAAAAAAAAAAGAGAGAAAAGAAAAATCACCCTAGCATCGGTGGAACAGTGATGGGCAGAGGCCAAGGTTAGTAGAGAGACACTGGCTGGGATGCTACCTTTGTAGTCTACATGAGGGATGGTGGTGGCTTTCCCTGTGAGATGGAGGGAAATGGACAAAGTCAAGAGATGTCAGGGAAGTAGAAGTACAGGTCTCAATACTAGATTTGATGTTTGGGGAGTAGAGAGGAATAATGATGAGGGAACCAGCCCCTGCCTCCAGCTCGAGAGATTTAATAGACCTTCCCAGATAGAAATGTCCCGGTCATTGTGTGGGAAGGTTAATTTAGAAGAGCATATGGCATTTGTTCTCTGCCTGCTTCTGAGAAGAACACTATTAGCCCTTTTCTAAGTCCTTTCTAAAACAAAAACAAAACCCAAAGGATTTGGCTTGCAACTGTCGATGGCAGAGGCTGCTGCAAGCAGGACTTGGTGTTTTGCTGATTCGAACATTGAGCAGAGGTATGTGGTCTGGGATTCCCTGTGAAATCAGCCCCAGAGCCTTCATCTCCAATAGCCTGTGCCAACCTAGAAGGCCAATATGAAAGTTGAACGAGGAACTAGGAATGGTCCTGTCCCAGAGTCCCTTCAGAGGAGGTGAGCCAGTATCAAATCCGACCTTGCTGGGACCCCAAGGGATGTTCTGCACTCAGATTTTATAAATCGTCCTTTGTGCCAGGTCCCTTCCCGGGAGCCACAGGCATGACTTAGGTTGTTGCGTGGATTCCCTTACCTAGGGCATAGAGAGGCCATGCAATTGATCATTGCTCTGAGGCAGTCAGAAAATGTGGAAGGAGGCATCCCAGCTGAAACATCTGCCCTAAGCCTCCTTCTTGGCCCTAAAACCTGCCTGGAATGTTCACCACCCCCAACACTCTCCCCAATCCACCCACCTCCTCTGGGTCTTTGCTCAGTGAGACCTTCCCTGACCACCCTCTATCAAACTGCATCTTTTCCCTTCCCTGCTATATTTTTCTCTGTAGTATTTATCACCACTGGGTGTACACTGTCCTTACATTCATTCTTGTTGTTTGCTAGTCTCCCTCTGTAAGATAAAAGCTCCAGGAGGGAACTTCCGTGTTTTGTTTGTTGTTCATTGCAGTATCCTCAGCCCCCATAGTGGTGCCTGGAACTCAGGAGGGGCTCAGTCAATATTTGTTGAATGGATAGTAATAGTAATGGCTAGCTTTTATCAGCTGAGACCCTATGCTTACAGTTCACTGAAGAGTTGAGAGACAGGCATTGAACAGGCAATTTCAAGTGTGATGATTCGTGTAAGGAAAAGTGTAGGACACGATAGTAGCACGGTGGGCTTCCCTGAGGAAGGGGCATTTGGCTGAGACCTGAAGGGTGATAAGACCCTGAAGAGAAGAGTCTTCCCGGTGGAGGGAGCAGCATTTGTGAGGGCATAAGGTAAAGAGAATGGGGCTGACGGGATAGAACTCACAAATGAAGTGTGCAGAGGCTTGTCTGGATGTGTCCACGGGGGCTGGAAGGGGCTGGATTTTAGAAAAAGTATTAAGATCCCAGCCTTGATCCTCAGGACAGCGTGAGGCCATCAAAAGGTTCGGAAGGAAGTTTGGAGGGCAGAAGGCTGGAGGGAATGCTTCCTTGCCCAGATGAAGCCTGAATGACTCGCAGGGCTGGGGCAAGCTGCCGCCAGTTTTATCCACAAAGCAGCAACCACTTCTGCTAAGATAGTGATGACTCCGAGCCCCTCCAGCTCCCCTGTTCTCCTCAACCCTGGTCTGAGCGCCTGCTTTGTGCGAGTCATTCAGGCTTCATCAAGGCACTATGTTAATGTTAGGTCCTTCTTACAGATCAGCCCACGTAGTCCTCACAGCAGCTGGTTGAGGAGCTATTATCATCATCCCCACTTGGCAGTGGTAGGTAGAGGCTGAGGCTGAGAGAGTTGCCCAGGTTCACTCTACTGGAAGGAGCCAGCTCTGGAATCTGGAATTCAGCCCCAGGCCTCTCTCAGTCCAAGTCCAGTGCGCACTATCTCTTTCATGGACTGCCTCCCATTCTCAGGATCCTAATGTCTTTATCTAACCCTGCTGGTGGCCAGAAGCCTCTACCTGGTACCCGTCACAACCCAGGTGAGACCAGGCATCTCAGGATGCCTCACCTGACTTCCAGCTGGAATCCAACCTGAGCTGTGCAGTTGGCTCAAAGGGTGGCCAACCAGAGGAGCAGATTTATCCACATTGGCATCAGAAAAACCACTCTAGGCCGGGCACAGTGGCTCATGCCTGTAAGGCTCATGCCTTGAGAGGCTTTCCCTGTTCTCCCAGCTCTCACCCCACCACCAGTAATCTGTGCTTAAACGAGCTGTCTTGCCTTTCCACGCAAATGAATTGGAGATGGTGAGGCTCCAGGCAGCAGCAGACGCATCTCAAAGCTGGTTTGGGGCATAAGAGCTTTCTCTCTATGAGAATAACCTGCTTCGGAGCCTTCTCAAGGATAGGGAGGTTGGTATTTATATAAAGTGAGGTTTTCGAAATGAACAGAGGTATGAGCTGCCTGGCAGTGTCCTGGAACGAGCCAGTTTGTAAAATAACTACTTTTTTGTTGCTTTGGGGCTAGAATACATTATACCAGAGTAAGAGATGGTAACTGACTACATTATTGTATTTATTTCTTAGGAATGAAAACACTATACTATTCCTATTATTGGGGATGCTTTGCCTTTTAAAAAAATTATGGTGAAATATACATAACAGAAAACCTACTGTCTTAGCCATTTTTAAGTGTATGGCTCAGTAGCATTAAGTACTGAATTATTGTGATGATTTGCCTTTTGAAATCCAGAAAAGAATACCTGGGTGTATTTTGTCCAAGCATGTAATATTGCTTCCTTGACTCCTATTTATAGTTTCTAACATTTGCATGGTTTATTCCAGTTTGTATAGTCTATATCACACATCTTGCCTCATTGAACCCACCTGGGGCCTGGGGTGGGCTGGGCAAAGGACCAGAGGAGCTTAGGTGCTGGGTGGTCTTTGTTTCGAGCATGTTCTAGTGCCATCTAGCGTCTGTGGGACCTTGTGCTGGCCAGGCTAAGGCTGTTGGATTTCCCCTGCTTGGGGCGATGGCTCTGTAAAACCCAAATAGCTTTAAAAGAGCACCAAGGAGATGTTTGTCTTTTTAAATCAGCTGGGATTTTTTTTTTTTTCCAGCTCTGATCCCTTGGAAACTTACAACTAAAATTCATTTCATTAGCAGTCAGAACAGTGTGTCCCTTTGAAGTTCAGACAGGGTGAGATTAATATGAACACGATATTAAGCTATTAAGCATCAGTTTGCCAAACCTATTTATAAAGGAGAGCGGAAGACGGAAAATAAAGGAGGCTGCATTAAGAGGCTCCTTTGCCAAGTCCACTGTCTCTTGTTGGAAAATGTGTCTCAATAACCCGTTTTTGTGTGAGAGAAGAGAAAAAGAAAACGTGTGACTGTGTGTGTGTGTACACATGCTTCAATGATGTGTGATTATCTAATAAGAGCAATAATGCAGCGTGGCTAAACTTACACAGTGTTGACTGTGTGCCCAACACTGTTCTTAGTGCTTTATATTTAAAATTTGTTAAATCACACAACAACCCAGAAGGAGTAGGTGTCATTATTTCCCCGTTTTATAGATGAGAAAACTGGGGCACACAAAGGTTGGGTGGTTTGTCGAAGGTCACAAAGCCACAGTAAATATTTTGTGATAGAGAAATTGTTCAGGACTCAGAAGCACATGGATTTTTAATTCGGGTTTCAGGTGATGTTGCGTTTTTTCTTCCTATCCATACATCACTTTTGAGCGCCTTACAGTCCCGATAGGAGAGGACCTTACATAGTGCTTGTCAAGTGAATGCAGCGGTTTAAGCCCATGTGGGGTTTTTGGCTTGTTTTAACGCACTCATAAGTAACGTACTCATGCGGGGCCGTGTATACAGAGGGAAGAGCACCACGTTAGTCAGCAGGTTTGAGTTTGGTCCTCAGCTCTGTGGCTTCCCAGCCACGTGACCCTGGGCAAGTGACTTCCTCTCCCCAGCCTCAGTTCCCCCCTTTTGGGGATAATAGAATGAGTTTTATAGTGTTTTGGGGTTTTTATTTTGAGAGGATAAATGAGATACTGATTAAAACAGCCTCTTGTCTAGTGTTTGGCCCATGGTATGTGCTCATTAAATTTTACCTTTGTTTACCTTTTATCTGGAAACTTAAACTTACTTAGCTCTCCTTTTGCATTTTCTGGCATCTCCTGCAGTGATGATTCATCTTCCTTATGGCCTAAGAAGGCCAAGTCCATTTGTCCATTTTCTTTTTTCTTTTTTTTAGTTGAGATGGGGCCTTGCTATGTTGTCCAGGTTGGTCTCGAACTCCTGGGCTCAAGCAGTCCTCCTGTCTCAGCCTCCCAGAATGCTGGGATTACAGGTGTCAGCCATCATGCCCAGCCTGAGTCCATTTTCTTTTCCTTTCTTTTCTTTTCTTTTCTTTTCTTTTCTTTTCTTTTCTTTTGGAAAAAACTGAGACAAGGTCTTGCTCTGTTTTCCAGGTTGGTCTCAAACTCCTGGGCTGAAGCAGTCCTCCTGCCTCAGCCTCCCAAAGTGCTAGGATTACAGGCATGAGCCACCATGCCCAGCCCAAGTCCGTTTTCTTTTTCTTTTCTTTTTTTTTTTTTTTTTTGAGACGGAGTCTTGCTCTGTCACCTAGGCTGTGTCTCAGCTCACTGCAAGCTCCGCCTCCTGGGTTCACGCCATTCTCCTGCCTCAGCCTCCCGAGTAGCTGGGACCACAGGCGCCTGCCACCACGCCTGGCTAATTTTGTTTTTGTATTTTTAGTAGAAACAGGGTTTCACCGTGTTAGCCAGGATGGTCTTGATCTCCTGACCTTGTGATCCGCCTGCCTCAGCCTCCCAAAGTGTTGGTATTACAGGCATGAGCCACCGCGCCCGGCCCATTTTCTACATCGAAGGATAAAATGGTCCAGTTCTGCTTGGGTGTGGGTTCTTAAATGTCTGTTCTAGTTGAAAGAACTGAAAGCTGAGAAAAATCTGGCTTTGTTCCTTCTTCCCTCTTTCAGATTTCCAAGTATATATATATATAACATGTATGTATACACACACATACACACACATGCATGCATAGCGACCCAGATAATTTTGGATCAAGTATAACAGGAATGGAGATAAAATCAGAAGGACATCAGACATTTGGATGGGCAACCAGACACTGGGGAAAAAATCTTGTTTGTCTGCAAGTTACCTCCTACAAGGCAAAAATCATAACATCAGCATCTTATGGAAACTGAAAAGGGAGATCCGGAGAAGCTTCCAGAAAGCAGGGGGATACATTGAAATGCATTGTACACTCCTAATGATTGCAATTTTAAGATGTGTAAAGTGTTACTGATAGTCTCCTTAATATGCAGTGTCTGTTGTCATTAGGTATTAATAAGCACTAATGATATTAATAAGCACTTTTATCAGTTCCTGTAAAAATCGAGTTTTCCTGATCTTATTTTTCCTGTCATGTCTTAGGCTGCTTAATCATAGATTCTCACTCCATAGGGTCTGCAGCATTTGCATGTCTGAAGGAAGTGGTTTCTTCATCCAGAGCTCTCAAGCTTTGAGAGGGAATTTTACATATCATCTTAACAGTGGTGTGTGGGAAATGAGATATGGCATTTTTGTTCGAGGGAACTCTTGTAGGCCCCCTTCACATCTCATGGAGAAGGCAGCAGTGTAGTTTTTGCAAGCCTGAGCCCAGCCTTTCAGCTGAAGGTAGCTGCAGCCACATTGGGCATCTGTTACGGACCTCATTGAGAAATGGAATCATTCATTCCCTCTTGGGCTCATTCAGTTGCAGTTATGTTTAACTTGCTTTTGAGAACCTCCCCTCTTGCTGGGAAGTCTGTCTTTTGATCTGCAGCAGGAAGAATAGCTCAGAATTGGCAAGTTGGTGGTGGGTGCTGCCGGCTCTCTGGGGACCAGGAGGTATCATCTGCCTGGTACCATGAGGGTATTAAAGGGGGTGAAACACTAATGACTTCTTCCAGCTCCCCTGCCTCTAGGTTTCTCTCCTGGTTACTCTTATGTCCCCAGTTCTCCACTCTCAGCACCCTTCTTTTCTCCATTTTCCCTGTTTCCCCTCTCTCTTTCCCTCCTCTTCCTCACTGTTGTAGGTGCAGCAAAAGAAGAGTGATGTTTGGTGGATACTTGGGATAACTGAGCTTCCACCTTCTTTTGACTCAGCCTGGAGATGCAGCCTCTCAACTTTTCTGTATAAATCATTTAAACACACGGTTTAATAAGCACAGAGTTTTGCTGTGGCTTGTCTCTGGTCTTTCAGATCAAAGCCAGAAGTCCAGGGAAATGTCTGGGAAAAGTCGTGCCTCTGCATTCCAGTTCTGTGCATTTTGATTCTTGAAAGATTGATTGCTGGCTTTTTGCCCTTTCCCCATGGCTGGGGTTTGGGAAGATTCTGGAGAGTTGTTATTTCTGGCCCCTAAGCCTTGAGGGGTGGCAACAATTCTGACCTTGCTTTCCTTCTTCCTGCCTTCTGTTCCCATTCTGAGTCTTCTCATTATCCTGAGTGTTTAAAATGATAAACTCCTTCATGGCATCACCTACCCATCTCCCAAAACAGTGATTTAAAAAGCATGAAAAACCCCAGGTAAAATGAAGTCAAACAGATTTCTTTGTTTTGGAACTACTACAAGTCTTGGATGCTTTAGAAATCCGTAAGTGGGGTTGGGCACGGTGGCTCACGCTGTAACCCCAGCACTTTGGGAAGCCGAGGCGGGCGGATCACTTGAGGCCAGGAGTTCAACACCAGCCTGGCCAACATGGTGAAACACCGTCTCTACTAAAAATCCAAAAATTAGTTGGGTGTGGTGGTGCACACCTGTAATCCCAGCTACTCAGGAGGCTGAGGCAGGAGAATCGTTTGAACCCGGGAGGCAGAGGTTGCAGTGAGCCGAGATAGCACCACTGCACTCCAGCCCAGGCAACAGAGTGAGACTCCATCTCAAAAAAAGAAGAAGAAAAAATAAATCCCTAAGTGGGAGATACAGTATTTGGCATTTTCCAAAAGTACCCAACCAAGGAATTATTTCTTGGAGTTACATCTCGTGGATCAACACTACCAACACTCTAGCTCTGAAGGACCTGCTAGCATTATTCCTTCAGGATAAGATATTCCTTCTATATAACCCAGTTCATCTGTGCACATGAATCTGTGTACACTGAGTCCTGTGCTCTATGCCGATTGGCCTTCATGAATGTGTGCTGCAGGGGGCATGCTGGCCTATCTCAGAAGGATTAAGTTGAGGCATAAAAGCCTGAGTGCCCACTGTGCACCAGATGTTTCATATACACTGTCTTAGGTAGACTTCACAACAACCCCACAAGGTAGATCCTGTTTTTCCTATTTCACAATTGAGGCCAGTGTACAGAGAAGTAAAGTAAGTTACTGATACAGTTTGGTTATTTGTCCCTGCCCAAATCTCACGTTGAATTGTAATCCCCAGTGCTGGAGGTGGGGCCTGGTGGGAGGTGTTTGGATCATGGGGGCGGATCCTTCATGGCTTGGTGCTGTCTCTATGATAGTGAGTTCTCTTGAGATATGGTTGTTTAAAAGTGTGTGGCACCTCCCGCCAGACTCTGTCTTACTTGCTTCTGCTTTCACCATGTGACATGCCTGCTCCTCCTTCACCTTCTGCCATGATGGAAAGTTTCCCGAGGCCCACCCAGAAGCTGAGTAGATGCCTGCACCATGCCTCTTGTAAAGCCTGCAGAACTGTGAGCCAACTAATCCTCTTTTTTTTTTTTTTGAGACAGAGTCTTAGTCACCCAGGCTGGAGTACAGTGGCGCGATCTTAGCTCACGGTTACCCCTGTCTCCTGAGTTCAAGCAATTCTTGTGCCTCAGCCTCCTGAGTAGCTGGGATTACAGGTGTGTGCCACCACAGCTGGCTAATTTTTGTATTTTTAGTAGAGGCAGGGTTTTGCCATGTTGGCCAAGTGGGTCTCAAACTCCTGGCCTCGAGTGATCCACCTGCCTCAGCCTCCCAAAGTGCTGGGATTACAGGCATGAGCCACCGCACCCAGCCTAAACCTCTTGTTTATAAATTACCCAGACTCAGGTATTTCTTTATAGCAATGCAAGAACAGCCTAACACAGTTACCCAAAGCCCTACAACTAGCAAATTCTGGCAGGGCCAGAATTCAGCATAGATATTAGGAAGAGGTCCATGGAACATAACGCAGCCATGCTAAGCCTCATTTGTCACTGGCCAGCAACCTGAACTGAGGTTGACCAGGAAATGGATTTGTGATGGGACCATTCTGTCACTGTTTGTGTATGTAAATAAGGGACATCTCTGACACCTGCTGGGGTAGCCAGAACATTTAATATCCTTTGCCTGCCTGAACACCTTTTCAGATGTAGGGCTCAATTCACATACCTACAAGTTCAGTTTTTACCCAACCAACTTCTAATGACATAATCTCATGAGTTCATTTTATCTGTAACCTCTCATCAGAATTAGCAGATCCTCTGCAATTTGGGAACTCTGGACAAAATCCAGGGGAAAGATTCTGAAGGTGAAGCATTCAAGTCTAGCAGTCCTAATGGAAACAGTGTAATAGCAACATGCCACTCATCTGCAGTCAGCCTGGATGACTTAAATTGGTTTCCAGGAGGTTGAAGTTTCATGAGAACAGCTCGGCACAGCTAAGCTGGTATTAATAAGCACATTGTGCCCGTGGACAACATTGTAGATCAATACAGTATATGCTCCAAATTCACATGATAGATGAGTACCATTATGACCTAATTAGCAAGCCTTATATTTTGAATAGATAAATAGTAATTCCACCACATAATCCTAAACCACTTCTTGAAAAACGCCGTTGCTGCCGCTCTTCCCTGCTGCAGAGATGAAGGCAGAGTGAGCAGAGGAATGGGTAACCATTTACATATTTATTTGCTTCTGTGATGGGTAACTGTTTTGTCTGTATTCACAGACGTCTCTAGTTCAGCTGTGCTCATTATTTTTTAACATGAGATAAGAGGAAAGTGTTCAGTTTTTTTAAAAGTCAAACCACATCTTAAGGGTGGAATTTACTGGGCCATACGTAACTCAGGGGCCCTTTAATCTGTTGCATTTGAGGTGCATCACCCTGAGTGCTTGAAGATCAGGGAGTTGGGTCCAAGGCTGGCAGTGACACCAGCAGGCTGTCCTCTGCAAGGGAACCATCTATTGCCTTGTGGGCAAGAACATGGGCTCTGGATTCAGAGAGATCTGGGTTCAAATCCTGACTCTCACCTTTCTTAACTTTGTGACCATAACATTTCTGAAAGGCAAGTAAATGGGATTGCTAATAGTACCTACTTCCTTGGGTGGTTGGGAGGATTAAATGAGATAATGTGTGTCGTGCCTAGCACAGTGCCTGGCACATGATGCGGGAATAGATCAGTTAGTTTTTATTGATAGTCTCTTTTATCTTTTGTGCAGTAAAGTAGTTTGACCAAATCAAAGAGTCCCAAAGTAAGGTCTTGACAAACATATTGGTGGAGGTGGCTCTCAGACTATTTTCAGTATTAATTAGAAGTGCCTGATGTCTTTGCCTTTGACTGGACTCACTCCAACTTCATAGCAACACCCATTATCTCATGGAGGTCAGAGGCTTGGTTTGGCAGTGACATTTGTTTATGATTAGTTAAAAATGGGAATCATATTAATTAGTATTTAATAGCTGCATTTTGGTGACAGATTTTGCTACCAAGCTGCCCTTACACATCTTACTTGGAAAATGCCTCTGGTTTAGAAGATGGCAGTTGTCAGAACATGTGATGCTTGGGGGGTTTGAGGGGTAGGTGGACATTGAAGATTTGTGGTGGTAGAAAGTTTAAGACCCTTGGTCTGGATGGTGTTTTCTAGTTAACCTTCTCTGATTCTGTGAGTCCTGCCTGTGCAGAGAGCACAGTAATAGGGTAACATGTAATCCCTATGTAATAGGGAACCTGACTGTTTACCTATACACACCTTGCCTACCCTTTCTTCTCCCACCCATTATGCCCTAGCTGGTGGCCTTGGCTTAAGCCAGATAAATGTCCTTATAATCTCAGGAAAATGCAACTCTCACTTCTACTCCCTGCTATCCCTGTGCTGCCAGCCTGCCTGGAATGCTCTTCTCTCTTTGTGGCCCTACTCAGGGTTCCTTTAGCTTGATACTGCTGGTCTTTTGGACTGGCAAACTCTTTGTTGCATTATAGAATGTTAGCCAGCATCTCTGAGGTCTATCCATTAGATACTAGTAGCACCCTGGTCCCTAAGTTGTGACAACTAACAATGTCTCTAAGACCTTGCCAAATGTCCCCTGGGAGTGGGGGCAGACCCAACTTAACATCCTGCCTTCTCCATGAAGACTTCAGTTCCAGTCCGCATAATTCATCCGTCAATTATAGATGATCCCAACTTTGGTCTGTGTGTGTCTTCATTTTGTCTCCCCATTCAGGTCTCACTGTTAAAGAGTTTGGACCACATTGTAACTTCTCTGTCTCCACAGAGCAGATCCTTGTTTGCTGTATTGATTTTTAACAAGAGCCTCCTGGCTTGCTGTTGGTTGCCATGAATTGAGCACCTGATGTTTTTCAGTCGCTTCATGTATATTTTCTCTAATTCTTACAACAACCCTCATCTTAACAGGAAAGATATCTGAGGCTCAGAGCGGGTAAGTAACTTACCCGTAGTCACACAGCTGATGAGTCCAAACCTGTGCGCTTCCCCATAAACCACCAAACCCTGCCAGTTTCGGGAGGGCAGCAAGAAGGCAGTTGGTGTCTCTGTCTGTCTGTGGCCTGTGTTTAAATTATCTCCAGGAGACGAGGGTGAAGGGATAGCGTGGGAGTGCCCTTTGAGAATGGATGTTGGGAAGAACCTAGTATGGAAAGAATAGGGGGCAACCTCTCTTCCCCTGGAAGGCTTGGCAGCAGGAATCCAGCCGAAGTGAATGTGCTGTGGGTTTAGAGCTGGGCACTGATTGGTTCTTCTGTGGCAGCCCTGAAGGCTGAGTCAAGAATAGGTCAGCCTTACATGCTTGGAGATGCTCTGGAAAATGACATATCTCTTATTGGGCTAAGCACCATGCTAGGGAAAAGTAAATATTCCCTCTGGCAGCCATGAAAAGAACAGTCAGCAGTGATGAGCAGGACAAGGGAAATGATTTGTTTTGTCTTGGAAAGCTGTGTTTGTTACCTCTGAATATGGCATGTTTGTTCTTAACGAAGACTTACCTGGGCAGTTTGCAGAAGGGGAAATCTGGTGAACCATGAGCCTATGAGGGGATGTGCACTTCTTCTAGTAGGCAGGGCAAAGTAAACCAAAATGGCAGGACCCTTCTCACACCAGAGAATACCTTGGCCTGTGTAGAAGAGGATGCGCATACGCTCATTCATATCCTCATTGTTGGTAATGATGAAAAATTAACAAACCATCTAAATGCCTGTCTGTAGGGGATTTGACAAATCCTGTGATGGAATACCATGCAGCACATCAATTTTTGAGACAGGGTTTCACTATGTCACCCAGGCTAGGGTGTAGTGGCACTATCACGGTTCACTGCAGCCTCTACTTCCCGGGCTCAAGCGATCCTCCCACCTCAGTCTCCTGAGTAGCTGGGACTACAGGTGTGCGCCACCATGCCCAGCTAATTTTTTGTAGAGATGGGGTCTCTCCACGTTGCCCAGGCTGGTCCTGAACTCCTGGGATCGAGCGATCTGCCCACTTCGGCCTCCCTAAGTGCTGGGATTACAGACGTGAGCCACCGTGCCTGACGTTGTGTACACTTTAAAAGCATATGGAAACCAATATTATTTATTTATCATAGATAGAAATGTGTCTATGAAAGTATTAAAAATAGACTTTCAGGTTGCAAAACAAACTGAAGAAAATAATTACCTAGGAGCACGAGGGGTGAGCAGGCAATGCAATTGAAGTAGATAAAGCATCCTTCTTTGCCTTATCCGAAAGGTACTACTAATGTGAAAAATAATTAATGGAAATGTGACAAAATCCTAGCTGGTTTTAATTCTGGGTGCTGTTGAGCTTTCTCTCTCTCTCTCTCTCTCTCTCTCTCTCTCTCTCTCTCTCTCCGTGTGGGGGTGTGCGTGTGTGTCTGTATTTTAAAAAATGGTTCCATCCAAAATGGAGATATGCGTGGTACTAGCCCTGCTTCCTGTATGGGCTGTCATGGGGATTCGATGGCAGTAATATATGTGAAAATGCTCTGTCAACTAGGAAGCAATGCAAAGGCAGGATAATGTTTATTTAATAAGAATAATCACCTATCGAGTTTTTCTTTGGTCCTTGGCTAAGTAGCTTTGTAGCATTTGGAGGCTTGGGAGAGTTTGCAGTGATTTACACTCTCCATACCTTGAAGTTCATGTTCGTTTGTTTTGTAAAAACTCCCCAGAGCACACAGCAGAGATAAAAGTAAAGAGAAAGCAGGGATCGAATTTTTATGTGCGTCTTGGAAGGCTGGGGAGGATGTGGAAGCGGATGCATCCCTCCGGGAAAATGGAGACAGCTGCCTGAATGGAAACCCACAGCCCCATCCCTGTCCTGAGGTCTGGGGTTTGATCTTG
Organism: Homo sapiens; assembly: GCF_000001405.40. Lineage (NCBI taxonomy): Eukaryota > Metazoa > Chordata > Mammalia > Primates > Hominidae > Homo > Homo sapiens. The sequence goes on from NC_000011.10 coordinate 36,141,529, forward strand.
TAGTGCATCTGATCAACTTTAGTACATGCTTACTGGGTCGTTGGTCTAGGCAGTAGCCAGAATAGGAGAATTTGGTGGGGGTGGGAGTAGGGAATCAGTCAGTAAAGGGAGACAGGGATGGGTGAAGAAGGGATGTACGCTAACCCATATAGATGAAGGGCATGTTCAAATAAGTAGTTTCTATGGCAACACGTGGAGTGAGCCAGGTGCCCCCGGCCCGAGCAGACAAGCAGGCTCTGAATGGAGCACTCTCCATTACCTGAAGAGGTAGCTGGCTGGAGCAGCCAGGGTCACAGGAAGTCAGCAGAATAGTTGGGTGGAAGGCAGGCTAAAACACAGTGCATAGCCTCATCTGCATTTCTGAAGGCAATAAATTCCCATTTAAGCTGCAATATCGATCTGCTCTGTGAAATTGCAGTATCAGAGGTTGTTTTCTTTTTTTTCCTTAACCATACAATTGGGACCTTTCCCTGAATCTCAGACAGGATGTGCAGGCTAACTTGTTCCATTTTCTAAGGAAAAATAAACCACTATTGCTTGCTTCCAGTCGCCTCCCCCTTCTTCACTTTTGGGGAAGCCATCCAGCCATGGCTGGGGTTTCCGGACAGATGGTGCCCATCCTTAGCAGCCTCTGTGGACCTCCATTTGGGACACTCTGAATGCAGTGACACACTAGAGTCACTCCTTAGTTTCTGACCTCTCTGATGGTTTTACTCTGATGAAAGGGTAGACTGCAGTCTCCCTCATTCACACATCCCAGCTGTATTAAGTGAGCTGAAGAAGACATAGACACAAGAATATCCATGTGCCTGTTTGTTCCTACTCTGTAGTTCTGCTGTGTGTTTGTGATTTGTCATCATATTCCGTTTAGTAGCTGCTGGTGAAATTTTGAGGTTGAATTCTTACTAGGACAACTGTTCACCTACCAGCCTTAAACCTGGCTCCTCATGAAGTCTGGATGTCCTCAACCTTCAGCACCTCTTAGCCCTTTAGTCTGAGTGGAAGAGGATTCGGTTACTTGATCCACAGTGCATGCTGAACCCACTGTCTGGTTCCCGCCCCCGCCTCCTGCACTTAGTCTTAAGCACAAACGTCTAAAAGAAGCCAGGTGGGAGGGGCAGTGGTGCACCCGGTGCAGCCGGTGAAGTGAGACTCACACTCATTGGAGGGCACGTGCCACACCAAAGGGAAGCCCCCAACCCAGCTGCAGCCAGGCATTTTCAAGCAGGAGGGCGCTTTCTGCATTACTACCTCTTCCAGGTTATCTAAAGGAGCCAGAGGTTGGAATTTCTGTGTGAAAGCTCTTGATTTTTAAATATTGAAGGAAAAAACAATTGGAAATCTGAAAGCACTGTGCAGTCACGCAAAAATCCAGCTCCCAGGCTCATGGAACCCAGGGGAAAAGAGGCAAACCACCCCAATGGGATTTAGGTACATTTGAAAAAGGAGCCAAATTGGTGAACCTTTTCATTAATATACATAACAAACATTGATTAAACACGTACTATGTGGTAGGCACTATGCTAAGTGCTTAACATTGCAGATGCATATTCACCAGTGAGGCGGGTGGGGTTAACTTCACTTTACAGATGAGGACATTGAGTCTCAGTCTGGGAAAGCATTTTGCCTGGGGTCACCTAGGAGTGATCAGAACCAGCATCTGAACCCAATTCTGTCTGTGAGCCTGTGAACCTGTTCCCCAGGCACAACGCGCTGTCTCCGGCAGCCTTGCTTCCCCTGCTTAAAAGTCACAAAGAACTCCCTGGCCAGAAAGGAAACCCAAGGCCTGGCGTCCTCTACCTCTTTCCCGTGGTGGCCTTGAATGAGAAACCAGAAGAAGCTGGCACATCAGGTGAATGTGGCTTTGACCACTCTCTTTCTCCACGGTTCAGGGCGGACCTTCTTCCAAAAATAGACTTGCCAAAAGTCTTGGCTGTTGTTAGCTCAGAAATAACCTCATTGGGCAGGAGGATCCTGTACCTGGAAATTATGTATTTTCCCACTTCCTGTTTGAGCCCAGGGAGAATGCCACAGGAAAAAGAGAAACAGGTATGGAGACTGTGTGTTCCAGCCTTCCTAAGTGTATTAGTTGGCTGTGGCTGCTAACAAAATACCACAGACTGGGTGGCTTAAATAACGGAAATGCATCTGCTCACTGTTCTGGAGGCCGGAAGTCCAAGCACAAGGTGTCAGCAGGTCTGGTTTCTCCCAGCACCCCTTTTTTTTGGCTTGTAGATGGCATCTCCTTGCTATGTCTTCACATTAGATTAGAGCCCACCCTACAAACAAAACAAAACAAAAACCTCATTTTAGCTTAATCACTTCTCGAAAGACCTTGCCTCCAAATGCAGTCGCATTCTAAAGTGTTGGAGGCTCCCTCTCCCTCTCCCTCTCCCCCTCCCCCTCCCCCTCCCCCTCCCTCTCTTGCCACGGTCTCCCTCTGATGCCGAGCCGAAGCTGGACTGTACTGCTGCCATCTCGGCTCACTGCAACCTCCCTGCCTGATTCTCCTGCCTCAGCCTGCCAAGTGCCTGCGATTGCAGGCGCGCGCCACCACGCCTGACTGGTTTTCGTATTTTTTTGGTGGAGACGGGGTTTCGCTGTGTTGGCTGGGCTGGTCTCCAGCTCCTAACCGCGAGTGATCCGCCAGCCTCGGCCTCCCGAGGTGCCGGGATGGCAGACAGAGTTGCGTTCACTCAGTGCTCAATGGTGCCCAGGCTGGAGTGCAGTGGCGTGATCTCGGCTCGCTACAACCTCCACCTCCCAGCTGCCTGCCTTGGCCCCCCAAAGTGCCGAGATTGCAGCCTCTGCCCGGCCGCCACCCCGTCTGGGAAGTGAGGAGTGTCTCTGCCTGGCCGCCCATCATCTGGGATGTGAGGAGCCTCTCTGCCTGGCTGCCCAGTCTGGAAAGTGAGGAGTGTCTCTGCCCGGCCGCCATCCCATCTAGGAAGTGAGGAGCGTCTCTGCCTGGCCGCCCATCGTCTGAGATGTGGGGAGCGCCTCTGCCCTGCCGCCCCGTCTGGGATGTGAGGAGCGTCTCTGCCCGGCCGCCCCGTCTGAGAAGTGAGGAGACCCTCTGCCTGGCAACTGCCCCGTCTGAGAAGTGAGAAGCCCCTCCGCCCGGCAGCCACACCGTCTGAGAAGTGAGGAGCCCCTCCGCCCGGCAGCCACCCCGTCTGGGAAGTGAGGAGCGTCTCCGCCCGGCAGCCACCCCGTCCGGGAGGGAGGTGGGGGTCAGCCCCCCGCCCGGCCAGCCGCCCCGTCCGGGAGGGAGGTGGGGGGGTCAGCCCCCCGCCCGGCCAGCCGCCCGTCCGGGAGGGAGGTGGGGGGGTCAGCCCCCCGCCCGGCCAGCCGCCCCGTCCGGGAGGTGAGGGGCGCCTCTACCCGGCCGCCCCTACTGGGAAGTGAGGAGCCCCTCTGCCCGGCCAGCCGCCCCGTCCCGGAAGGAGGTGGGGGGGTCAGCCCCCCGCCCTGCCAGCCGCCCCGTCCGGGAGGTGAGGGGCGCCTCTGCCCGGCCGCCTCTACTGGGAAGAGAGGAGCCCCTCTGCCCGGCCAGCCGCCCCGTCCGGGAGGGAGGTTGGGGGGTCAGCCCCCCGCCCGGCCAGCTGCCCCATCTGGGAGGGAGGTGGGGGGGTCAGCCCCCCGCCCGGCCAGCTGCCCCGTCCGGGAGGGAGGTGGGGGGGTCAGCCCCCCACCCGCCAGCCGCCCCGTCCGGGAGGGAAGTGGGGGGGGGTCAGCCCCCCGCCCGGCCAGCTGCCCCATCCGGGAGGTGAGGGGTGCCTCTGCCCGGCCACCCCTACTGGGAAGTGAGGAGCCCCTCTGCCCGGCCAGCCGCCCCGTCTGGGAGGGAGGTGGGGGGGTCAGCCCCCCGCCCAGCCAGCCACCCCATCCGGGAGGTGAGGGGCGCCTCTGCCCGGCCGCCCCTACTGGGAAGTGAGGAGCCTCTCTGCCCGGCCACCACCCCGTCTGGGAGGTGTACTCAACAGCTCATTGAGAACAGGCCATGATGACAATGGCGGTTTTGTGGAATAGAAAGGGGGGAAAAGTGGGGAAAAGATTGAGAAATCGGATGGTTGCCGTGTCTGTGTAGAAAGAGGTAGACATGGGAGACTTTTCATTTTGTTCTGTACTAAGAAAAATTCTTCTGCCTTGGGATCCTGTTAATCTGTGACCTTACCCCCAACCCTGTGCTCTCTGAAACATGTGCTGTGTCCACTCAGGGTTGAATGGATTAAGGGTGGTGCAAGATGTGCTTTGTTAAACAGATGCTTGAAGGCAGCATGCTGGTTAAGAGTCATCGCCACTCCCTAATCTCAAGTACCCAGGGACACAAACACTGCGGAAGGCTGCAGGGTCCTCTGCCTAGGAAAACCAGAGACCTTTGTTCACTTGTTTATCTGCTGACCTTCCCTCCACTATTGTCCTGTGACCCTGCTAAATCTCCCTCTGCGAGAAACACCCAAGAATGATCAATAAAAAAAAGAAAAAAAAAAGTGTTGGAGGTTAGGACTTCAACACAGGAATTTAGGAGAGAACAAAATTCAGCCCATAACACCAGGTAAATAGCCAAATGAATGGGTGCTGGTGAGAAGCACCAAGACCTAAATTCTTATTCAGACTCAGTCACTGCTCAGCCTCCTGATCACACTCCAACTCAAGTTGTCACCCATAAAATCAGAATAATGTCACCCTGTGCACTTACCTCCCTGGATTATTTTGAATATCAAATGTCCGATGAAAGTAAGAACTGCTACATGGCAGCAAGGCTTTGCTTTTAGATAATCCATCAGTGATAAGAGATGGCAAACTTTTTGTATGTTTCTCATAACCTTTTCTCTCTTTATAGGAGTAATATACACCCATTGTCCATCCTTTTCATACCATATAATTGAGATTATCCTGTAAAGAGCTATATAAGCTGCTTCTACATATCATAGTATATTGTATATTGGTTTCCTCAGGCTGCATAAATTACTACAGATTTGGTGGCTTAAAAAAACAGACAGTTATTCTCGTACAGTTCAGAAGAGAAGTCCAAATCAAGGCATCAGCAGGGTTTGTTCCTTCTGCGGACCCTGAGGGAAAATTCACTGCATACCTTTCTCCTAGGTTCTGGCAGCTTCCAGCAATCCTTGGCATTTCTTGGCTTGTAGACGCATCCCTGCAATCTCTGCTTCCGTCTTCACCTGGCATTCTCCCCGGAGTCCCAAGATTTCTTGTCTCTGTGTCCCAAATTTCCCTCTACTTTATTTTATTTTATTTTATTTTATTGATTGATTGAGATGGAATCTTGCTTTGTCACCCAGGCTGGAGTACAGTGGCGTGGTTTTGGCTCACTGCAACCTCCGCCTCCCAGCTTCAAGTGATTCTCTCTCCTCAGCCTCCTGAATAGCTGAGACTACAGATGCATACTGCCACATGCAGCTAATTTTTGTATTTTTAGTAGAGACAGGGTTTCACCGTGTTAGTCAGGCTGGTCTCCAACTCCTAACCTCGAGTGACCCACCCACCTTGGCCCCCAAAGTGCTGGATTACAGGCGTTAGCCACCATGACTGGCCCCCATATTTACTTTTTTTTTTTTTTTTTTTTTTTTTTTTTTTTTTTTTGAGACGGAGTCTTGCTCTGTCATCCAGGCTGGAGTGCAGTGGCATGATCTCGGCTCACTGCAAGCTCCGCCTCCCTGGTTCATGCCATTCTCCTGCCTCAGCCTCCCGAGTAGCTAGGACTACAGGCACCCACCACCACACCCAGCTAATTTTTTTGTATTTTTAGTAGAGACAGGGTTTCACCATGTTAGCCAGGATGGTCTCAATCTCCTGACTTTGTGATCCACCCGCCTCGGCCTCCCAAAGTGCTGGGATTACAGGCATGAGCCACCACACCCGGCCCCTCTATTTACTTTTAAAAGGACACCAGTCATTTGACTTAGGGTCAAGTCTAAATGCAAGATGATCTCATCTAAAGTTCCTTAACTCAATTACATCTGCAGAGACCCCGTTTTCCAAATAAAGTCATATTCACAGGCACCAGGGGTTAGAACATGGACATAACTTTTGAGGGACACAGTTCAACCCCCTACACATAGTATCATGTACACATTCTCAAGTTATTAACAATTCCTAAAACAATCAGTGTTTCAGAATATCTCCTCATGGGGCTGTGGTATGATGTATCTGACACTGCAGTTGCCAGACTCCTGTGATTCTGACCTCTTACATCACTGCAAAGCAATACCTGACTTTGCATATGCCCTGTGGTATTACAAGGGTGAGCCACCAGCTTGAGTCTTTATTGCCTGGGCCTTTATTTCTTTTCCTTTTTTCCATTAGTTGTTTTTTATTTTTATTTTTATTTCTTTTGAGACAGAGTTTCACTGTGTTGCCCAGGCTGGAGTGCAGTGGTGCAATCCTGGCTCACTGCAACCTCCACCTCCCAGGTTTAAGCGATTCTCCTGCCTCAGCCTTGCGAGTAGCTGAGATTATAGGCACCCACCACCAGCCTCGGCTAATGGTTGTATTGTTAGTAGAGACGGGGTTTCACCATGTTGGCCAGGCTGGTCTTGAACTCCTGACCTCAGTGATCTGCCCACCTCGGCCTCCCAAAATGCTGGGATTACAGGCGTGAGCCACCACACCTGGCCAGATTGTTTTCATTGTTTCTGTTTTTCTTATTAAATAAATGTTATATATCTAGCATAGGGATTTTAGAAAAGGAGCCCAGTGATGGTCCTCTCCTTGGTTCTCAACCCTGTGATCTTTGTGTTTTAACCCCTGCCCTGTCACTTTAGGGATCTGGAAGCGGGAAGGAGACATCTGCGAGTGCTCAGATGACTATCTCGATACACTCAGGGTGTATTTTCTGGGGTGACTGTAGGGGCATCTCGGTTCATTTGGTGGCAAATCCAACTTTTCTATTCCCTAACGAGGACTTTGCTGCCTTTATGATTTTTCTCTCACTGCCTGCTTTTGGAAAAATCTTCTGACAGTTATATTTACCAGTAGAACTAGAAGGGAATGCTTCAGTCTATCCTGTGTTTAGAGTCATGGAGTTGGAGGAGGTTTGGGTGGGAATCTGAGTGACAGCCAAGGAGAAGGAGATAGGGCCGTCTTGGGGTTTTCTGCAGTCTCAGACTCTGGGTCTTTGTATGACCCTTGGGAACATGAAGCAGCCAGGGAATGGAGCCAGGACCACTTTACCCCAGCAAGACTCCCAAGCTATATCTTCAAAGGTCTGAGGGACATGGTGCATTCACTTGTCTTCTGCTACCCACAGATGACCAGCTCTGTGAAGGAGGCATCCCCTGGCTTGGGTAGGCAGAAAGTGTTGGAAAGGAATTGAAGTAACATTTCAGTTTGAAGGTTTTGTAACAGATGGTGGTGGCAGCTGCTCTAGGAGAGACAAATGAAGTTAGTGAAATGGTCCTTCATTCAGTCTACCTTGTGCATCCATCCATTTAGCCAACTGTGTTGATACGTATGATGAACCAGGCCCCATGTCGCACACTGGGATGATAAAGAGAGAACACCTGGCCACAGCGTCTGGAAACTCCTTATCTAAGAAGAGGGACAGACTCATGCCCACATGATGAGTTCTGTTGAGTACCAAGGTAGCAGAAAAGGGGAGCTTTGAACTCCATTTGGGAGTAGCCAGGGAAGATGGCCTTTCTGCAAGATTCTTGAGGGAATGATCAGGCACTCAGGCCTGGGAGGGGAGAAGACATCAGACGTCAGGGGATGGTCAGATGCCTGTGCAGAAGGTAAAATGAAATCTGTCAGATAAAATCTACAAAAGAATAGCGGTTGGAGAGTTGTGGGCACAACAAATGCAAAGACCATCCTGGATAAAGTTAAGTTGGCAGGAAGCAAGAGAAAAAGGGGAAAGAAAGTATCAGTATGCAGTCGCTAGAAAGGATAGGACAAAATAACCCAACTTGGAAGGCCCCAGAAAGACAAATGATTCAAGAAGCACCGTCTGTGTCTGAGACGCTGTCCCTGCACAGCAGTGTTGTCCAGCTGGTGAGAGATGAGGATGAGAGGGAGTTTGAATCTGTTCGCTGCTCCTATCTACCTGTTGAAAATGTCAGAGCTGTGAGTCTGCTTCTGGGCTGGTGGCCAGGGTCTGTGGCTCCCAGCGCTGTAGTGTCCTGCCACGTTTGTCTCAGTTGGTAATTGGGTAGAAAACCATCTCCTGGGGCTTGGTGACCAGGGTATGAGGGCACTGAACACAGTGCCAGAGCTTCCAGAAGTGCTGGGGCAGGTGCATCCCTTGCTGACTTGGGGCCCCATTGAGGCTCTGCGTCTGTTCCTCATGACTCATGAATGTGTTCCTCATGACTGTTCCTCATGACTCATGTTCCTCATGACTCATGACTCATGAATGTGGCTGAATTGAGGGCTAAAGCCCTGGGTCTCTCTTACAGCATTGCTTTGGCATTCACCAGGCCAGGGCAGGCGTGAACGGTGGAATAGGGAGTGTGGTAGGATGAGGTGGAAGGTGGGGTGTCCTTTTTCATTCCCCAAAACAGCTTTCTTGAACTATCCACCAGGCTGCAGGGGGTATCGTTTACCTGGGGACTGTGTGGTGTCCCATCTCTAGGGAAGAACAATGTTGCCTCCTAGTGGCTGTGTCTGTCTTGGACACCGGTATCTGAGAACTGAGAACAATATTTGTTCCATAAATGAGGCATGAATATTACTCTTTAAAGATTCCCTGTTGAAGGCAGGCACAGTGGCTCACACGTGTAATCTCAACACTTTGGGAGGCTGAGGCAGCAGGATCACTTGGGGCCAGGAGTTTGAGAACAGCCAGGGCAACAAAGTGAGACCTCATCTCTACAAAAAAATTAAAAATTAGCCAGGCGTGGTACCACACGCCTGTAGTCCCAGCTACCCAGGAGGCTGAGGTGGGAGGATCACTTGCACCCAGGAGTCCCAGGCTGCCGTGTGTTATAATTGTACCAGTGCACTCCAGCGTGGGTGGTAGAGCGAGACCTTGTCTCTTTAAAAAAAAATAAAAAAGGCAAGACCATCCTGGCTAACACAGTGAAACCCCATCTCTACTAAAAATACAAAAAAAATTAGCCGGGCGTGGTGGCGGGCGCCTGTAGTCCCAGCTACTTGGGAGGCTGAGGCAGGAGAATGGTGTGAACCCAGGAGGCAGAGGTTGCCGTGAGCCAAGATTGAGCCACTGCACTCCAGCCTGGGCAACAGAGCAAGACTCTGTTTCAAAAAAATAAATAAATAAAAAATTAAAAAGGAAAGAAAGAAAGAAAGATCCCTTGTTGAAGCTGAATGCCCATGCCCAAATTCTGGCCTTCTCTCTACCTCCTGCTTTTGCAGTAGCTTTCTAATGAGCCTTCCTGACCTCCAGTCCTTGTCACTGAAAGCCCAGTCCTGCTTGTCTTGCTGTCTGTGTTCAAACACACAATAGCCCCTCATTGCCAGTAGCATAAAGCTGAATCTCTTACTGGACATGGAAAGTTCTCCGAGGTCTGATCTGTTCACCACATGCACCCATAGGCACCTCTGAACAATCCTTGGTTTCCCACCTTTCAGGCACACTTTTCTGTCTGTCTAGAACGCCCTCACCAGTCTAGCCAGGCCAGAGGTTTCCAGTTGTTCAAATTGTAATTCACATGGTGCTGTTTCAGTGAATCATGCTCATATCTGGGAATGACCTGAATTCTATCCCAGCTCTGATGTACCCACATGGTAACATTAGAGACAGTCATAATAGCAGCTACTGTGTATTGAGCACTTACTACACAATACACAGTATTGTGTAGTAAGATGGGCCAGGGGTGCACATCGCAAAACTTCAGGGGGTGCCATTTACATCGAATACAGAAGAGAGGCACTGCTGGCCACTGTGCCAAGACCTTCATATAGATAATCTCAGCCCTAACAGTTGGACTCTGTTACCGCCATTTTACGAAGAAGGAAACTAAGGCTACAAATGTTAAGTTTCTTGCCCAGGGCCACATAGCTAGTAAACAATTGGGCTGGGCTGTAGTCAACTCAGGTCTCTTTCCAAAGCCCATGGTCTTTCCATGGCACTCCGCTCCCTCCTTAATAGATGCTAAGTTCCGTGAGGGCGGGATCCCACTTTGAATTGTTTTTAGTCTTCCACCTCCTCCATTGAGCTTGATAAATGTATATTGGTCAAAATCCCCAGTCCTGTCTAGTGCCAGTTACACATCAGTGTCTGTAGTAGAGACCCTGGCGCTAGCATGAATTCTACCAAGCAGGCTAGACTTTACAATCAATCAATAGAATAAAAGGAAGGAAAATAAACAGTTCCTCCCAGCCCACTGAGTACTATTGTCTTGTCTCTTAGTACCACTACAAGGAAATGCTAGATCATGAGCTGGGGCTACCAGAGAGCTTCATAGACTTGACCCCAACACTTTAGCTGGATGACTTGGAGAAAATTACCCCAAAGTGTCTGCAGTGACTTCTGTGACCACCACCAGCTTCCCAAACCAGCCCATCCAACTCCCTTTTCCTGAGTGAGGTAAAAACTGGTAGAACCAAGGAATGCTGAATTTCCAAACGCCTCCTAAGGGAACTGAAACCGCAAATTGGCCACTTGGCTGAGAAATGCTCTCTTTCCCTCCAACACACACTTTCCTTTTCCTTTAGCTAAAGAATCCATAGATGAGTCTCACTTTGTGATACACGTGCTCCTGAAAGCTGTGTGGAATTGAGTCATTTTCTAAATTCACCAGGGAATCTTTCCATTTTAAAGAAAATCTCTAGTCAGTTATAAAACCAGATGCTATCAGAGACAGAAAGACCATTAGAGGTTTATCTAATTCAGCTTTCGTCTCATTTTACAGATGAGAAAACCAGAGAGGTTAAGTGACTTGGCCACAGTCACACAGCTCGTTAGCGATAGGAATTGACCTTAAGTCAAACAGAGCCTTAGGTCCTCTGATGCTGGTGCCAGTGCTTTCCCCTTTCCAAACCTCTTTCATAATGAAATCACCCAGCCCCTACCCGTGTCCCTATTCACTCCCACCAAAAAAATCCTCCATATAGTCTGTTTTACAAATTCATCCATTCTTCTTTCAGGGAGGGTTTCATCTATACTTCTGGCTTTGTCTGCTTCCAACTCCCTTTGGCCATTTGCACAGATCAGCTTTTCTAACAGAAAGGTGTGCAGAAAAAAGTTGAAATAGCAGGTCTGTTTTAGGATAAATAGTTGGGACGCTTGACAGCTTGCACCTGGTTTCCCCCAGACTTTACTCCATGCACCTTTTTCCATGCTATTTTTGCTCTGTAACCTTTTGCTCTAATACATTGTGCCTGTGAGTACAAGTATATGCTGAGTCCTGTGAGTCCTCTTAGCAAATCTTCACAATTGGGGTGCTCTTGGGGACCTCCAACAAAGAGGGAGAGGAAGCTTTCAGTCAAGGGTACAATCAAGCAGTCTCCTTTCTTAATTGAGGCAGGGATGATTAAGGTTTGTGGATGAATACTCTGAGGTCCTGCTCACCTGGGTTCCACTCCTGAATCTGCCATTTACCATGGATTTGTGGCAAGTTATTTTCTCACTCTGAGCCTCAGGATCTCCAACAAAGGGGTTAGTAACACTTAATGGCTTCGGGTTCTTGGAGGACGCCGAGAGATGCCCAGCATAGTCGGGGTGCTTGACCAGGATGTGCTCCATGGGCATAGGAACTCTGAGTTGTAGATGTGGTATCCCCACTTCTCAGAACAGGTCCTCCTGCAGCAAATATTTGTTGAATGTATACTTCAGGAGTGAATAAATGCCACCTAACATTGCTGCAGAAAGCACTTGAGCCCAGGAGGGACCGGAGATTATTGTCAAGCAAGATGAGTAAATTCCATATAAGTTTCTGTCTGAGCACTGGCTGGCTCTGGTTGCTGTGGGAGAGAACTTTTAATTGAACACAGTTGGGGGTATCTCTGCTTTCCCAGACCTTTTGCTGGGTCAGTTGGCACCCCTCCCTCTCTTAGGACATTGAGGCTTGTCTCTGGATTACCTTGGTTGATCTATTTCTGGATCTGTCTGTAAATTTGTCATAAAGGTAGACCCTGTTACCAAGTACATGTTCTTAATTAGCAAGACACATTTTGAATGGCTAAGTGGAACATCCCTTTTTGCAATCCCAGTGACCCATTTCCCAAGTGCTCTCTTTTGGCCTTATTTTTTTCTGCTTCTTGAACAAAGGAGAAGGGAGGAATGCAGCTATGTGCATATTTATTTGCTCTAGTGGTGGGCAAATGTTTAAATTCCTGCCATTAGGGGGTTTCTCTAGCTTGCTTTGCTTGTTAATGTTTTTTTTTAACAGGATAAATCATGTGCAAGTGTCATCGATAGACTAACAAGAGGTAGGCGGGCCATGGGAAAGTAGAATTTACCACCTCTCCAACAGTTCAAGGATACTGTTCTTCTAAGTTTTTAAACATTGGTTGGAATTGTGCCTTCAGTGGGGTGTGGGGGAGTTGGAGAGGCACCTTCATCCCAGACTGAAGGCCAGAAGCCTCGGGTTCCAGTTGTGTCTCAACCACTGAGTTGTCCCAGAGACTTTGGCATAAACTGCTTGACTTCCTCGGCCTCTGTTCTTCTTTTTGTAAAGAGATGAGTTCATCCAGAATGTTCTCTCGCATTCTGGCATTCTTAAAGAGTCCCAATTTTGAGCTCAGAGAATGCCACACCGACTGAAAGTAAGTCACACCTTTAAACATCTGGGGGACTTAAATTTGAAGAATGTGCCCATGATACTACCACCACTGATGTACCCAGCCTGCGGGTGAGCCAGGACAGGTAAATGGTGACCCACTGTTAGTGTCCAAGAGATGACTAGACCCCAGGTGGCACAGCCTAGGGGCTCTTGGACCCCACTTATTCCCTTTGTACCCAAGTAGCTTTCCTAAAGCATGTTCCTTAGAACCCTAAATCCACAAGCAGCTCCGCCTGTGGTCACATGAATTTGGGAGGCACTTTCCCAATCTTAGAAATCACAACAGAGGTTTAGAGAAGTCGTAGGGAAAAGAAATTGTTTGTTGTTGTCTAACCTGTGTTTCCTGAACTTAATTGACCAAAAACCCCGTTATTTTCCCCCATTCCATACTGCCTGTAGCCTCCCATGCAAACCCATTTCAGAACCTGCAGCTGCAGTCAGTCTGGAGTCAGGTAACTTAATTAGGAATCTGTTTCATGTCTTATCATTCAGTTCCTATTGGTTAATTTTCTTGGAACTTATGTCAGAGGGACATCCATGTGCATCCTAATGACAGCCTCATTTGAGACAAAATTTTCCATCATGGACAAACCAACCACCAGGTGACCCCAGGCAGTCTCCCCTGGCCTCTACCACAAGTCCCTCTCCCAGGAGCTCATGCTGTCTTTAGGCCCAGTCCATCTGTCTGTCTGCTTCTCTCTCTCCCTTCCTGTCCTCTTTCCTTGGGCAGCTCCTCCTCTTCCCCATTTCCCTGTTTTCCACCCTCTCACCCTTGCCCTTACTTTGAATTCTGCTGGGAAGAGGATGGCCTTTTACCCCAGACCCACAATCTTTCCAGTTCAGGCTGGTTCATTTGCCATCATTTGCTTTCTCATTGATTAGGAATTAATCAATGGCTGACAGTCTCCCCAGAGTGGATCACAGCTGTCTAGGAAATCTGCTGACCTAGAAAGATTTTCAGATGCTGTTAACAACCCACAGATCACGCTGTCAAGTATTTTCTTTCTTCAGCAGCTCTTGGCATGGCGAGCATGTGATTCTGCCCCTCTGCTCTGTGGCCTTTCAGTGACATTCATTATTTATCCGGGTCCTTTGAAGCTCTGCCTCAAAATGTTGCCAGAAATTCCAAATTATTTTCTTCCTTCTTGTTTAAAGAATTTCATCTAAAACTTTGTTTGGAGAGAGCCCGCTGAAGTCATAGTTATATTGACTTCCGCGTCTGTTCCCCAGCTCATCTTTGCTCCCTGTTTTCTCCCCACGCTGGCCTCCGTGCCTGGAACAAGTCAGACTTGTGTTATTTCCCAGCTGTGTGACCTTGAGCAAGTGGCTTAATGTTTCTGAGCCTTAGTTTCTTCCTCTGTAAAATAAGGATAATAATACGTACTTCACAGACTAGTGGTAAGGATTAAATGAGACAATGAGAGAATGCAAAGCACTTAGCCTAGTTCAAGAACATAGTTATCCATCACTTTAGGATACAGCAGGGGCCTCTTGTTCACCCCTGTTATTCCCAGGGGTACCCGCCTGGCTCATAGTAGGTGCGTAGCAAGATTTTTTTCAATGGAAACTAGAGTGGGATGCGCCTATCTAGAAAATCCTCTGTTGGAGCCTAGTCTTGGTCCTTAAAAGTCCTGGGCCTGCCTTCCCCCTGCCTTTAAGAAGCTGAGCCAGCAATAGTAGCATGTGGCCACCTGCAGGGCTCTGTGGAGGAAAGAGCTTTGAGCTGGGAAATTATGTTCTTAGATGAGTCATGTTCTGCCTCACCATTTCTTTAGTGGTTCTCAATCCTAGTTGCACATTAGAATCACCCAGGGAGCAGTTTTTAGAGACTCCATACAAGAGATTGACTCTGCTGATTCGAGGTAGAGCCTTGCGATGTGTCAGAAGTCCTTTGCTTTCGTTGAGAAGAACGTACTGAGTGGAAATTGTATAACCTCATCAACAGCTAAGCACCTGAAGGGATAAAAAAGACCGCCAGTAGTTGGCAGTCTTGGTTGAGGCTTCAAGATTGAATCCAAAGCAGCTTGTGATTCCTTTGGAGTGGCACGATCCCCAACTGAAGAGCTGTTTGCACATACACATTGTCACTGCAAACTCAAAGCCCAAGTTTGTTCGTATAGCCAGCTCTGCCCAGCAGGACCCTGGGTAGGGCCAGGTGCCTTGGCAGAACATGGATGGGGCAGTACAGGGCCACTTGGATCAGGTCCACCCATTTGCCATTGTTAGCATGAGCTGAAAGAAGTTGGGTCTCCCAAGGCAGTGCTGTCTCACTGCAGTAAACAGCAGTTTTCAGAAGATCTACGTCCTTGAAATATACACAGATTGGGTTTTGTTTGTTTACCCACACACAGCCTTCTCTTAGAGGGGAGTTAAGGTAAGGAAATGACTGTCTCAACACTCACACCCTGATGTGGCATTATTTGGCAACAATAACTTCTTCATCATCCCCTCCCCTCCTCATGGCACCCACCCAGCTGGCAGAAAATGACAAAGAAGGAAGATCAGCATTCATCATCTTCAGCATGATATGGTTTCAGAGATTTTTAGCATTTGATTTGTAACATTTCAGAAGGCAACATAAATCAAGCTGGTAATTTGTTTTGTCATGCCAAAAAAAAAGGAAAATCTGAATTCATTTGGGAGAACGTGTGTATGTCAGTCACTGCCTTTTCGGATCTGGTTGAAAAGCTGCAAATATTTTTCTCCACACAAAGTACATTCAGGTTTTGTTGATGATGTTGTTAGTACAGATCTCCTCTGGGGCACTGAGTAACCCTGGGGAGAGGATGGGAAACAGCGTAAGGGCTGTAATTTTCAGCCTGGAATAGAAGCAGCAATTTTAGGCAATTTAAACAATTCTATTAAGGGCAATCTTTTGGTCTCCTGCTGGAAAGAGAGGACCCCATTCAGAATGCTCCCAGTAATGCTGTAAGGGGCTGATGGGGTCTCCAGATTGTATACAGTTTCCTGCACCCCCGAAACCATCATAGAGGATCTCTGCCCCCTCATGCCTTTAAACGGGAACATTAATAATTTCCTGCTTAGTGCAGGATGTAGTCCAAAAACTCAAAATGAGTTGTCCAGATAAAGGGAGACCTCTGGGGGATGCCAGACAAACTTGGTCTTGTCAGAAGAGAAAAACTTGAGAGGGAGTTAATTGAAGAGTTTCCCACATTGCAGCTTGTGAGTGGTTCTGTTGCACTTTTGTTGATTTTTAAAATTTCTTTTTATTTAGTCAGTTTTTAAAGTCCCAAATGAACCATGGGGTTCTTGGCCCAGAGAACAGATGAACATTGGTTAGGCCAGGGAGTTATTTTCCAGCAAACTGCCCATGAGTTAAACTCCACTCTGTGGATTGGGGGTCATGATAAGGGAAGGGAGCCCCTACTATTTTGCGGGTCTCTGTTTTGAGTGTCTTAAAATTCTAGTGGAGTAGGAGCCATTGGGACCATCACAGGAAGATATAGCCCCTGGGTGGGAAGCAGGGTGTCTGTCTTTTGGAGGGAGCGGAGTGTCTCCATTTCAGTTGTTGCTGAGACAGGCAAGGTCTGGTGGTTGAGGAAACATCTTTTTCTCTCTGAGCCTCTTTTTGAGCTTAGATTATAAGGAATCTAGATCTGTCACGGGTAGATGCTTCCAGGTTCTGGGAGCAGAAGGCACTGCTACAAGGAGGCAAGTTGGGGACTCAGTAGAAGGTAACCTGTTGGTTAGTAGCTGTTAAGCAATTTGGACCCCAACCTACAATAAGAACTACTTTTATATCACAAATATACAGATAGGAAGTCATTCTACATTCAGCACACTGACGCAGGTATTTTTTAATACATTCTATTCCCTTCTTTTCGTTTTATGCTGGCCCTGACCCACTATGTTAGTTTCTGTACTTATTATACTATTTGGTTGAGACCTGATGTTGAAAAAACATTCCAGTGGGATAGTCTATGAAGATAGCCTCAGCACATGAGTTATGAGAGCTGCCTCAGCTGTGAGAGTTCCAGGCACGTCACTGTCCGGGGGTAATTCCCTTTGAGTTTCATTGAATTTTAAGGAAAAAGCCCCCTTGCTCTTCCTCAAATGCACCAAAGACTCTCTCACCCCAGGATCTTTGCACTTGCTGTTCTGTTCACTTAGAACACCTGTCTTCCATATACCCAAGGGTCCACCTTCAGCTCTTTATCAGGTGCCACCCTCTCAAGGAGAACCCCATCCCCATCCCCACCCCCTGTTTAAAATTGCAACCCATCACCAACCCCGCTCCCTCTTCGTTCCACTTACCATGTTCTGGGCTTTTTTTTTTTTTTTTTTGCCACAGCATTTATTATCTTCTCCCAAACAATATACCCTATAACTTTTTATTATATCTACTCTCTGTCTCTGCCCACTACCATGTAAATTCTGTGAGGGCAGGAATTTCTGTTCTGTATATCATCATATCCCATCAGCTGGAGCAGTGCCTGTGGTGTGACAGATGCTCACTGAAGACTTTGTGGAATGAATAAATGAATGAATTAATGCTGTTAAAATGATAGCCTCTTCTTACTACAACTGTCTTTTATTTTTTTTAATTGATACGTAATAATTGTACATATTTACAGGGTACAATGTGTTGTAATCCATGTATACGTTGTGTAATGATCAAATCAGGGTAATTGGCACATCCATCACCTTATATGTGTGTCATTTCTTTTGGTGACTACATTCAGAAAGGTCTAGCTATTTTGAAATATACAATACATTATTATTAACTATAGCTGCCCTACTGTGCAAGAGAACACCAGTTTTTCTAATTGTAATTTTGTACGTGTTGGCTGCTTTCTTAAATTGTGGAAATTAAAGGAAGGGCTGAACTGTTACTCAGATTTGAATAGAAATGAGGAAGAAGAAGAACAGTGAGATAAGGAGATAGTGACAGTGATACATGTTGACAATTCCATTGAAAAAGAACTTGGCCGGGTGTGGTCGTTCATGGCTGTAATCCCAGCACTTAGGACACGAAGGCCGAAGCATCGCTTGAGCCCAGGAATTTGAGACCAGCCTGGGCAACATAGTGAGACCCCCATCTATATAAAAATTTTAAAAAACTTGCTGGGTATGGTGGTGTTTGCCTGTAGTCCCAGCTACTGGAGAAGCCGAGGTGGGAGGATCACCTGAGCTCGGGAGGTTGATTCTGCGGTGAGCCGTGAGCACGCCACTGGACTCCAGCCTGAGCAACAGAGTCAGACCCTGTCTCTAAAAAGAAAAAGGAGCCAGATGCGGTGGCTCACTGCTGTAATCCCAGGGGAAGCCAAGGCAGAAGGATCACTTGAGGCCAGGAGTTCAAGACCAGCCTGGTCAACATAGTAAAACACCGTCTTTACAGAAACTAAAAAAAAAAAAAAAAAAAAAAAAGCCAGATGTGGTGACATGCTCCTGTAGTCCCAGCTACATGGGAAGCTGAGGTGGGAGGATTGCTTGAGCTTGGGAGGTTGAGGCTGCAGTAAGCCCAGATCATGCCACTGCACTCCAGCCTGGCAACAGAGCGAGGCCCTCAAAAAAAAAGGAGAACTCAGGGGACAAGAATCAAGGTGGCAAAGGCCTATGACCTTTGCCCACAGAATAACCACCCCTACCCTGGAGGGCCAGGACGGTTCCTTCCTCTCCTTCCATCCCAAGCCTGAGTCTTATGTTCCCTGCCCAGTAGTGAGTCCTCCGGCAACTCATCAGCAACACAGAGCCGCAGGGCTTTTGTTGGGACCCCCTTGAAAACACTCAGTCCCACGTTGCTGCACATTGCTAGTGGTTGATAAGACCGTTGCAGGAAAATTTATAAATCCGTGGCCTTACTGGCTGTGAGCGAGGCAGATAAGCCACAGTCTGACAGAAAGAAAAGCATCTCCCTTCCCTGTTCTTGCCTGAGATGCAAAGAATAAACCTGAATCTGTGTGGTGAATGAACGTCCTGGTGAAGTGAACGTGATAAAATTCCAGCTTGCTGTTTTGTGGGACGTATTGCAGGCACCGCATCTTTGTTCTCAGTCCCCTCTGCCCTTTGTGTGGGCCAGCCTCGAGGGACGTGGCCCAGTGAATCCTGGGGGAAAATCACGCTCACAGAAAGCCAGCGTGATTTCCCAGCCAGAGGAGATAAGGCCCGTGGGAGTGAATGGCAGCTTAGCGACCCCTGTTGCACCAAATCCTCCTTGAAATATTTAATTATAAGATACATGAATGCTTATCCCAGCAGTTATTTTTTCCTCTTAACCCATATTTAGCCTTGCAGCAAAAAATAAAATATGGTTCCTGGGAGTTTATCTTTCTTTTAATGAGGCTCTCAGGGGTCAGTTTTTTCCCTTAAAAAATTTTTGGCCCATCGTTCAACCCAGGAACTCTGCTTGTCAGAGAGGATCTTTGAATAAAATAATGCTGTCTGGTTCTTTTCATAGGTATCGTTTACCCTTTCATATTGGTTTTCAGTTTTAAAAAGTATTTTCACATAGAAGAAATCGGGACTGAAAATGCGTTAGTGACCAGCTCAAAGTCACACAATGACTTAGTGAGAACTCGAAATGGAAACAGGATCTTTTTTTTGGCGTGGGGAGGGACAGAGTTTCGCTCTTGTTGCCCAGGCTGGAGTGCAATGGCGCAATCTGGGCTCACTGCAACCTCCGCCTCCCAGGTTCAAGTGATTCTCCTGCCTCACCCTCCCGAGTAGTTGGGATTACAGGCACCTGCAACCACACCCAGCTAATTTCTGTATTTTCAGTAGAAATAGGGTTTCACCATGTTGGCCAGGCTGGTCTTGAACGCCTGACCTCAGGTGATCTGCCCACCTCAGCCTCCCAAAGTGCTGGGATTACAGGCGTGAGCCACCGCGCCTGGCCAGAAGCAGGATCTTGAAGCTCTCAGAATGCCCGTCTCTCCTTCTGTGCACAGTGAGGGCTTCCCATTCTTTCTGATTTCCCTTTCCTGTAGCAGAGAGGGGAAGATACTCCACATTAGTCAAGAGCTTTAGGGTACCAGGCACTGTGTGTAAAGTACATTTCTTATATTACCCCTTTGATTCCTCCCAGGAATCCTATGGCATCTATAATACTATCCCCATTTTCTAAATGAGGAAATGGAACTTCAGAGTGATTTTGTTCCAAGTAGAAATCAGGCTCTGGCAACTGCTTCCTGCTAGCAGGGTGAGATACAAACTTTTACAAATAGCAGACAGGCCATCATATAAATATATGATGTATTTATAAATACATACCTGTAGATATATTTCTAAATACATATCTGTAGATGTGTTTATAAATGTGGGGGAAACAGATAAAAATCCCTACCCTTGTGGAGTCTACATTCTGTTGATTCATTTTGGGATGGATGGATGGATGGATGGATGGATGGAGTACAACAATCTTCAGAGGCCAACTCCACTTCAGTCCCGGCAAATTCCTCTTACAGAAGAGCGGTAAGATACATTGGTAGACATATACAACCTGGGCTTCAGACCAGGGAAGTTTTATTTTGCCACTAAATTTAGCCACTGTATCAACACATCTCCCAGCTTACAAGATGACTGAGAACAAGTGTAAGTTCTTGAGGACACAAGCCCTTGCCTTAGTCAGCTTTGTGTGCCCTGCTGTACTTAATGCTTCATGGGTGTTCATTAAATGTTTAAATGAATGAGATGCATAATTCAGTTACGATGAGGCTCTCTGAGAATGAGTTAACATCTATCGAGAGTTGTGCAGTCCGCAGACTTAGAAATATCCAAAAATAATCACCCCTAGAGAGATCTCTGCAAATCAGTAATGAAAGAACTGAAGTAAAACTATAAATCATTCCGTTAACGGTTTTATACATTTACAAGTAAGTAATTTTGGAAGCAAAATTGGTGTATAAGCTGTATTTAGCCTCGATGTGCTAAGCAACTTTGAACCAAATATAAATTCCTGGCGTGGTATTTTTAAGCCACGGTGGGGGCAGGGTGCTGGGGAAAAAGTTGAGTTGGAGGAGCATCAAAGCTATTTTTGTAAGTTTCATCTACATTTTTAGAAAGATGCATTTTTGAAGAATTGGGATATCAGTCACTTCTCCCTGGCAGGATTCCTCATCAAGGGAGAAATGACAGCATGTCCGATCTTCCTTGAGTCTCTAAAGATCGCATTATTAAGATGGTTTCTGTCACTGTGCACCATGTCTGAGAACATGTCTTGGCACACCACCCTGTCCTTCGTCTCCTGATTTATAGCTTGCAATAGACTTGTTGAGTGTGAAGCTAGAACCCAGACAGAATGTTAATGCAGGGAAATGACATGTGAATCAGTGGTGCCCTGGGCTTTGAGTGCACATGACTGAGGGGAGGCCCAGTCAGCTGTGGCTGTGCTCCTCACATTAGCTTTGATTTGCTAGACATTGCATGAAGAATGAAGCAGAGCCTTAGCCGTGAGCTTCTCAGACTGGAGCTAAGCCGTGGTCCCTAAGTCTATAGCTTCCCACTGGAGACTGACTTAATTAGCCAGGATCCTGAGCTTGGCTAATGGTGGGCCCAGTGAATGCTTGATTTGCAATGGAAATGCCCAATTTGGTATGGAGTCTCCATTTTTAAAATGCATTGGCTAACTTTGCAGCTTCCCCCATCCCCTTCTCATGACAGTCTCCCTTTCTGGAATATTTCAAATGCAAAGGGGGAAACAGGGTTGTCGTTATATCTGGATCCTATCCACAAGGGCTCAGCAGCTGTGATGTTCAGCAGGCCAAATACAGACCCAAGAGACCAAACAGCTTCTTCCTTCCCCAAGCAGTTAAAACAAAGATCTGCTCACTGCCTTGCCTGTGTGTCTTCATGGGTGTTTGATATCAGGGTAAACTCTAGGGGCTAAAAGTGGGAGCAGAAAAAGCAATGCAAACGCATTAGGCGAGAAGCCAGGGCGGATCAGCAAAAGGTCTGGAATTATGGAAGGCTGAAGATAAGCAGTTTTGGTTGATTTCCAACACAGGCAGTTGCCTGCTTTAATGTCTGGATAAGAACTTGCCTGTAATTGGTAGATGGATTGCTTGGCTATAAATGGAGCCTGAAAAGAGTCTATTCCCTTCCAGCAATTAAACATCCCCCTGACTGCTGCCACTTTCTCCACTCTGATTATTCAGCAGACCCATTCTTCTTAATACACAGCACCGAGGTGTGGCTTAGCCCAGCCTGGTTTGAATTAGCTTATGGGATCCACATTAATGAAGCCTAGCCTTACTTCCCTGCATATGATGTGTGACTGGGTATAGTCAAGTGCCCAGTGTAGGTAAATAGATTTCGGAGAATGGTGATGTAAGATACCTACCAACCATATGTGGAAATCCTTTTCAGGATGGTTTCCCTCTGCAAGACTGTAAAGGTAGGAAATGCACTGCCTTTCCCACCCCTTCACTCCTGCACCCATTTGATAACCCACTTGAGTGTTTAGAACAGTCTTCCAAAGAGGGATGTGTGCAAGGTGATTGTTTAGGGAAGGAAGGGAGGGAGGGAGGGAGGGAAAAGGGAGAGAGAAAGGGAAAAGGGGAGGGGAAGAAGGGCAGGAAGAAAGAAAAGCTTTAGATTTGATATATAGATTGACGGGATCATGTATATAATGGAAATATACATATATTGGGGGAATAGTGTCTCAAATGGTGGAAGTTCACTGGTTTAGAGCACTGAATGAGCCACCTCAATTTTGCTCCCGTTTTCATCTTTGTCCCTAGTGCTGAGTGGCTTCAGTTTTCACTGCTTTGATCTATGTCCTGCCTGACTGGATTAAGAAAATAGAGACCTAGAGCTTCCAGTGGGAAGAGAGGAAATCGGTGACAGAACTGAATTAAGACATCTTTCTAGAAGGAGCCATTTTCCAGCCTCTTACCACTGCCCTGGGTGATCCTCTAGGTCACACAGGAGCTGATATCATGGTTGAGCCCTGGGAATCTCAGCCACGCTCTGTCCCTGTGCATCTCATACAAGCTTCCATGGTGATGAAAATTGTTAAGATGTCTTATGTGAAGCACATGGGCGTTGGGTTTGCTCATCACAAGCTGCCTGCTGCTGATGCTGTTTCACCTATTTAAAATACCCAAGTGTTGCTTTATTTAAAATTGAACAAGAGTCAGCCACTTAGAACATTTATCAATAAACTCATCACTCAAATGGAATTGTGCCCCTGCCCCTGCACTTGCATATGGTCTTAGATTGCTGCTCATTTCCAGGCACAGATGGCTTGCTTCAAAATTTTTTGCTTGAACAGGGTAAAAAAGCGAGAGTTGGTAGCTTTTAAGTGTACAAACTTGCCAAGAAAGGAAAATGCTGTGAGTGGGGATGATTGCTGGCAAGCAGCAGGGTCCGATATAATCCATGTCTGTCCATCCGTGTGTCTGTTCTTCAGCCCTGTGTGGCAGATCCCCTTCCAGTGAGTGAGCTTTAGCAAATGGAGTGTCTATGACAGCTATTTGAATCATCCTAGAATCTACTGGCTTAAAGCTGACAGCTCTGACTCTTCCTTTAACTTCTTAAGTGCAGTGTTTTGGACAGAGATAGAAGCTTTGCGAGCAGGCAGCCCGCCAGATTCTTCTATGTCCCAGATCTGGATGTTAGATTAGAAAATTTGATATTTACAAATGTGCTTCACCTTGAATTAGCCATGACCCAGTTGCTATTGTTTGTTGAAAGAGATATCTTTTAGAATTTTACTTATACAACTGACTTGCTTTTCAAAAGCACAATAAAATCTTATGTTCCCATTATAAAAGTACATATACTCATTACAGGATGTTTGGAAAATATAGAACAGGGAAAATTTTACCCACATTTCCTGCTTCCATAAATAATCACTATTAGCAGTTGGCGTATTTCCTCCCATATCCTTTTCCATGCCTAGGCAATGGAGGCTTTTTGTTCTTGCAACCGTGATACTTTTTATTCAGTTTTACATCCTACTTTTTTTCCCACTTATATTAATAAATATTTTCCCATGTTGTTATAAACTCTTAGTAAGCATTCTTAATGGTTGTATGATATTCTATTAAATGGGTGCATCTTATTTTACTTAGCCACACATCTATTGATGAACATTTAGATTTTGTCAATACATTGTTGTAGACGAAGTTGTGATGGCTTTAAACCTTTTTTTTTTTGCTTTCGTCTTTTGAATTACTTCCTTAGGATAGATTACCGTAAGATTTATATGAGGTATGAACACCTTTAGGGCCCATTACACTTATATTACTAACTTGTTATCCAAATGGATATCTGTTTACACCCCCACAAGCAATTTGATAGAACCTTTTTTTCATCACGTAATTGCCAACATAGGATATTATCATTTTAAAAAATCATTCTTGCACTGCTAGGCAAGAAATGGTATCTAATTGCAGCTCCCTTCTAAGTGTTGATTGAGCCTTTATTTAGGAAGGTCCTGCTGTGTTTTGCATAGTTCATTGGAAATTCTAGGAAAGTGCTCTTGAAAAAGGAAATTATTTATTTTCATTCTACTTTTTCAAACTTCTCACCTCCCCCTCCCACCCCCCAGTTTTAAGTCATCTTACATGAAGAAATATAAGACCAAATTACAGAAGCAGGGAATTAATGATCCAAAGATTCTAGTTAACAAGATGATCACCCAGGTTTCAAAAAATAAGTGATCTCATTTTTATGGCTTAAATATTTTAGTAACCGTTGAGTGCCTACTGTTTATATTTCTTTTCTAGGCTGACTGGCTTGCTTCCTCCCTCCCTCCCTCCCTCCCTCCCTCCCTCCCTTCCTTCCTTCCTTCCTTCCTTCCTCTATTCCATCCTCTCCTCTCCTCCCTCCTCTCCCATCCTAGACAGCTTAGGTGAAGGGCTGACAGAGGGAAATTGACTGGCTAATCTATGTGCAGTAGCCCCTGGTTCCTGCTCTTTCCGCTGAACATGATTTATAGTTGTTTGGCAGAAGGTCAAAATCTGATTCCATAGAGTGGGAATGCAGGGGGAAATATTTGATTTCTTTGACACAGTTCATTAAAAATTCATACATATGGATCTGGAAATGAAACATTGCTCCATGTCAACATGAGTTACAGTGGGAGCCTAGAGCAAGACATGAGTATTCAAGTGAGACACTGTCACCAGGTAATCACATCGGCATGGCAGTGCCTCTCAGTGAGACATGGAAGGGGGAAAGGTGACCTGGACTCTGGAGGGTGGAAATGAAATTTTTCTCTTTTGCCTAAAGGCTTTCCTTGTAAATAGAAGCCAGTTTGTTAGAAAACCTCTGTTACAAAGAGCCCATTTCATTCATGTATTCTTTTGTCCATTTGTTTGACAAATATTTATTTATTTTCCACTATTGGTAAGGTGTATATTGATTAATAAGAGAGATGACTTATTTCAAATTTCCCTGTTATTTCTACTTTGTTTCTTAATTCTTCCTCTTTGACCCTTTACTTTAGAGCTATCTGACTTTTACAATGTCTAGACTTCAAGCCTTTTATTATAAATACTGTAAATGGTTGGAAACATGATCTTCTAGCCCAGTACTTCTCAAATTGTAATGTACACACAAATCATCTGGGGATCTGTTAAAATGAAGATTCTGATTCAGTAGGTCCAGGATGGGGCCAGAGAGAATGCATGTCTGTCAAATTCCCAGGAGATGCCGCTGCTGCTGATCCAAGCACCATTTGAATAGCGAGGCTCTAGTCTACCATATCTGTACTGGGTTGAATAATGTTCTCCATAAATTCATAACCACCCAGCACCTGTGTATGTGACCTTATTTGGATATAGTTTTTGCAGATGTAATCAAGTTAAGATGGTTTTATGGTCAACATTCTTCAGGAAAATGGAATTAATAGAATAGGATGTAGATAGAATGATATTAATTTATTTTAAGGAATTGGTTCATGCAGTTGTTCGGGGCTAGCTAGTCCAAAATCTGCAGGGCAGGTCAGCAAGCTGGAGACCAAGAGAAGAGTAGATGTTGCAGTCTTGAGTCAGAAGGGAGTCTGGAAGCAGAATTCCTTCTTTTCCCGGGAACCTCAGTCTTTTCTCTGAAAGCCTTCAACTGATTGGATGAGGCCCGCCCACACTATTTGCTTGAACTCAGAGATGTTAATCTCATCTGAAGAAATATCTTCACAGCTGCATCTGGACTGGTGGTGGACTAAAAGCTGATTACCATAGCCTAGCTAAGTTGACACATAAAATTAACCATCACGATGAGGTCATACTGGATTAGGGTGGGCCCTAAATCCAATATGTCTCATGTCCCTGTAAGAAGAAGGAATTTTGGACACAGAGACACAGACTCACAGGACCACGTGAAGACAGAAACAGAGATTGAGAGCTAAACACAATTGATCCAATGGAGGTAAAGAGTAGAATCATTACCAGATGCATCTACAAGCCAAGGAGCACCCAAGATAGCCAGAAACCACCAGCAGCGAGGAAGAGACAAGGAAGGACTCTTTCCTAGGGCCTTCAGAGGGAGCACGCCCTGCTGACAGCTTGATTGCAGACTTTGGGCCTCCAGAATACATTTCTATTGTTTTCATGCCACGCAGTTCATGGCACTTTGTTACAGCAGCCCTGGGAAGCTAGCACGGTATCTAAGACATAGGCCTACAACAGACCTAAGAACATCATCACAAAGCCAGAATGCTTGACTTTTCTGGTAATTTGCCACCTTGACACATGGATGCAGTGTCTGGAAGGTGCACCAACTAAAATGCTTTGTCATTCTCATAGAAGAGAAGTTCAGAGTCACTGTGGGTGGGAATGAATTGGTCAGGAATCCCCTCCTCTTTCTTAGACTCCCGAGTTGGTCTGAAAACGCTCATCGATATTCTCCTCTACTTTCTCTTCTGGCCCTGCCTTCAGGTTGCAGGGCAGCCCGGTGACAAATGAGGAGGAGCTGAATTTGCTTTTTATTTGAACAAACTATACTAATTGAAATGGACCCCACTGGGATTGCTGTCTGCCATAAGTAATGTATATTTCATTAACATTTTCTTTAAAAACCAACAAGATCATAAAGCTAAGATTGCTTTAGCCTAAATGCTGTCCAGATTTAATATGCATGATATAACCTCCTGGCATAGCACTAAGCTTGAGCATGCAATTTTTGGTGCCTCCCTGATGCTTGTTTTTAACAGGAGGAGAATCAATACGGGGTGAGGGTTAGACCAACAACGTGAACTGTCAAGAACCAGAGAAATAATTAAAGTTATAATATTAACAAAACAACATGGTTGTAGAGGGGATGGATAAATGATTTTATTCCGTTTTTTTCTTTCTTCTTTTTTTTTTTTTTTTTTTTTACTGCCTCAGGCATATTTGTTGGCATTTTCAGAAGGAGATAGAATCAGGAGTTATTTTTCTGCTAGGAAATGTTTAAGTAAATCCCAGTTGTGATCAATAGGGTAGCCTCCACAAAGCAAGCAAAGCAGTAAATGTCACTCATTTCACTTTTTAGCAACAGTTGTGTGTGTGTTAGAGCCGAAGTCTGAAACCAGTGACTTCAACATTAGCCAGGGAGTATCGACCAAAATCGGTGGTGAGGAGATAAAATTGCCCTGGAAAAGTTGGGTTCCCCTTAACAATGGTAGCATGGAGAAATCAGACTTCCAGATGTTGTGATTTCTCAGCTCTCTAATTCATCAAATTAAGATGACTTTCAGGACTGCCTGGAGATGGACTTCAGACAGAACACAGCCCACATCATGCTTTGAGCTGAACACGTTTAAAAGAGTTTCACATTGAGGTTGAAGCATGGCTGTGCAGAATGACATATGAGGAATGACTGTATTCCCATTATAGGAGTCACCCTGCTTTTTTACTCTCCCAGAAGAGTTGTCTTATTTCTGATTTGGGTGAGTGCAGACTACAGTTGTGGAGCATTAGCTGGACCCCTGCTCCTCCTGGGGCAAAACAAATCCTTCTTATTGATCTGTGAGCTTTTTTATTGATACATAATGATTGTAGTGTTTATGGGGTACATGTGATATTTTGACAAATGCATACAATGCATAATGATCAAACCAGGGTAATTGGGATATCCACCACCTCAAACATTTATCATTTATTTCTGCTGGGAACATGCCAAATCATCTCTTCTAGCTGTTTTGAAATATATAATTATTGTTAACTGTAGTCACCCTACTGCGCTGTTGAATACTAGGACTTATTCCTTCTGTTTAACTTTACGTTTGTACCTATTAACCAAACTGTCTTTATCCCAGCCTCACCCCTGCCACCCTTCCCAGCTTCTGGTAACCATCATTCTACTCTTTCCCTCTGTGAGATCAATTTTGTTTAGCTCCCACATGTAAGTGAGAACATGTAATATTTGTGTTTCTGTGCCTGGCTTATTTCACTTAACCTAATGTCTTCCAGTTCTAGTTCCTGTCATTTGTTACTGCAAATGACAGAATTTCATTCTTTCTGTGGCTAAATAGTATTCCATTATGTATACATACCACATTTTCTTTATCTATTCATCCATTGATGGGCACTTATGTTGATTTCGTATCTTGGCTAATAGAGCTGCATAAGCATGGGAGTGCAGGCATCTTTTCGGTATCCTGATTTCCTTTCCTTTGAATATATCCTCAGCAGTGAGATTGTTGGATCATGGGGGTAAATCTATTTTTAGGTTTTTGTATTTTTTAAGTTTTTTAATTCAATAGGTTTTTGGGGAACAGGTGCTGTTTGGTTCCATGGATAAGTTCTTTAGCGGTAATTTCTGAAATTCTGGTACACCTATCACCCGAGCAATGTACACTGTACCCAATGTGCAGTCTTTTATCCCTCACCCTCCTCCCACCCTTCCCTCTCTGGATCCCCAGAGTGCATTATATCATTCTCACGCCTTTGCCTCCTCATAGCTTAGCTCCCACTTGTAAGTGAGAACATATGATGTTTGGTTTTCCATCCCTGAGTTACTTCACTTAAAATAATGGTATTGAACTCCATCCAGGTTGTTGCATATGCCATTATTTTGTTCCTTTTTATGGCTGAACAATATTCCATGGTGTGTATGTGTGTGTATATATATATACACATATATATACACATATATGTACATATATACACACATATATATACATATATACGTATATATGTATATATGTACGTATATACGTATATATACATATATATACACACACACATATATATCTGACATTTTCTTTATCCACTTGTTGATTTATGGGCATTTGGGCTGGTTCCATATTTTTTCAATTGCAAATTGTGCTGCTATAAACATGTATGTGCAAGTGTATTTTTTATATAATGACTTCTTTTCCTCTGGGTAGATACCCAGTAATGAAATTGCTGGATCAAATGATAGATCTACTTTTAGTTCTTTAAGGAATCTCCATATTGTTTTCCATAGTGGTTGTACTAGTTTACATTCCTACCAGCGATATAAAAGTGTTCCCTGTTCACCACATTCATGCCAACATTTATTATCTTTTGATGTTTTAATGATGGCCATTCTTGCAAGAGTAAGGTGGAATCACATTGTGGTTTTGATCTGCAGCTCCCTGATCATTAGTGATGTTGAGCAATTTGTCATACGTTTGTTGGCCATTTGTATATCTTCTTTTTTTTTTTTTTTTGAGACGGAGTCTCCCTCTGTTGCCAGGTTGGAGTGCAGGGGCGCGATCTTGGCTCACTGAAACCTCCGCCTCCTGAGTTGAAGCGATTCTCCTGCGTCAGCCTCCCGAGTAGGTGGGACAACAGGCACATGCCACCATGCCCAGCTAATTTTTGTATTTTTAGTAGAGACAGGGTTTCACCATGTTGGCCAGGATGGTATCGATCTCTTGACTTCGTGATCCACCTGTCTTGGCCTCCCAAAGTGCTGGGATTATAGGCGTGACGTTTATCTTCTTTTGGGAATTGTCTATTTGTGTCCTTAGCCCACTATTTGATGAGATTATTTGTTTTTTTCTTGCTGAATTGTTTGAGTCCCTTGTAGATTCTCGATATTAGTCCTTTGTTGAATGCATAGTTTGCAAAGATTTTCTCCCATTCTGTTGGGTTGTGTGTTTACTCTGCTGATTGTTTCTTTTGCTATGCAGAAGCTTTTTCATTTAATTAAGTCCCACTGTTTATCTGTTTTTGTTGCATTTGCTTTTGGGTTCTTGGTCATGAAGTCTTTGCCTAAGCCCATGTCTGGAAGGGTTTTTCTGATGTTATCTTCTAGACTTTTTATGGTTTCAGGTCTTAGATTTAAGTCTTTGATCCATCTTGAGTTTATTTTTGTATAAGGTGAGAGATGAGGATCCAGTTTCATTCTTTTACATGAGGCTTGTCCATTTATCCCAACACCATTTGTTGAATAGAATGTGCTTTCCCCACTTTATGTTGTTGTTTGCTTTCCCCACTTTATGTTGTTGTTTGCTTTGTCAAAGGTCAGTTGACTGCAAGTATTTGGCTTCATTTCTGGGTTCCCTATTCTGTTCCATTGGTCTATGTGCCTGTTTTTCTACCAGTACCATGCTGTTTTGGTGACTATAGCCTTATAGTATAATTTGAAGTTGGATAATGTGATGCCTCCAGGTTTGTTCTTTTTGCTTGGTCTTTCTTTGGCTATGAGAGCTCTTTTTTGGTTCCTCATGAAATTTAGGATTGTTTTTTCTAGTTCTTTGAAGAATTATGATAATATATTGATGGGAATTAGATTGAATTTGGAGATTGCTTTTGCAATATAGTCATTTTCACAATATTCTACCCATCCACAAGCATAGGGTGTGTTTCCATTTGTTTGTGTAATCTGTGATTTCTTTCAGCAGTGTTTTGTAGTTTTCCTTGTAGAGGTCTTTCATGTTCTTGGTTAGGTATATTCCTAAGGTGTTTTTTTGTTTGTTTGTTTTGCAGCTATTGCAAAAGGAGTTGAGTTCTTTATTTGATTCTCAGCTTGGTCGCTGTTGGTGTATAGCAGTACTTCTGATTTGTGCACATTGATTTTGTATCCTGAAACTTTACTGAATTTATTTGTCAGATCTAGGAGACTCTAGAAGATCCAGAGTCTTTAGGGTTTTTTAGGTATATGATCATATCATAAGTGAAGAGCAACAGTTTGACCTCCTCTTTGACAATTTGGATGCCCTTTATTTCGTTCTCTTGTTTGATTGCTCTGGCTAGGACTTCCAGAACTATGTTGAATAGAAGTGGCGGGCATCCTTGTCTTGTTCCAGTTCTCGGGGGGACTGCTTTCAACTATTCCCCATTTAGTATAATGTTGGCTGTGGGTTTGTCATAAATGGCTTTTATTACATTAAGGTATGTCCCTTCTATGCCGATTTTGCTGAGGGTTTTAATAAAAAAGGGATACTGGATTTTTGTCAAATGCTTTTTCTGCATCTATTGAGATGATCATATGATTTTTGTTTTTGATTTTGTTTATGTGATGTATCACATTTCTTGACTTGCGTATATTAAACCAGCCCTGCATCCCTGGTATGAAACTCACTTGATCATGGTTGGATTATCTTTTTGATATGCTGTTGGATTCAGTTAGCTATCATTTTGTTGAGGATTTTTGCATCTATGTTCATCAGGGATATTGGTCTGTAATTTTATTTTTTGGTTATGTCCTTTCCTGGTTTTGGTGTTAGGGTGATACTGGCTTCATAGAAAGATTTAGGGAGAATTCTCTATTTCTCTATCATTTGTAATAGTTTCAGTGGGATTGGTACTAATTCTTCCTTGAATGTCTGATAGAATTCAACTGTGAATCTGTCCGTGCCTGGACTTTTTTGGTTGGCAATTTTTTAATTATCATTTCAATTGGGCTGCTTGTTATTAGTCTGTTTAGAGTTCCTTTTTCTTCCTGGTTTAATCTAGGAGGGTTGTATATTTCCAAAAATTTATCCATCTCCTCTAGCTTTTCTACTTTGTGTGTGTAAGGGTATTCATAGTAGCCTTGAATGGTCTTTTGTATTTCTGTGGTATCACCTATAATATCTCCCATTTCATTCTTTTTTATTATTATTATGCTTTAAGTTCTAGGGTACATGTGCACAATGTGCAGGTTTGTTACATATGTATACATGTGCCATGTTGGTGTGCTGCACCCATTAACTCGTCATTTACATTAGGTATATCTCCTAATGCTATCCCTCCCCCCTCCCCCCACCCCACAACAGGCCCAGGTGTGTGATATTCCCCTTCCTGTGTCCAAGTATTATCATTGTTCAATTCCCACCTATGAGTGAGAACATGCAGTATTTGGTTTTTTGTCCCTGCGATAGTTTGCTGAGAATGATGGTTTCCAGCTTCATCCATGTCCCTACAAAGGACATGAACTCATCCTTTTTTATGGCTGCATAGTATTCCATGGTGTATATATGCCACATTTTCTTAATCCAGTCTATCATTGATGGACATTTGGGTTGGTTCCAAGTCTTTGCTATTGTGAATAATGCCACAATAAACATACATTTGCATGTGTCTTTATAGCAGCATGATTTATAATCCTTTGGGTATATACCCAGTAATGGGATGGCTGGGTCAAATGGTATTTCTGGTTCTAGATCTAGATCTTTGAGAATCAATATCGTGAAAATGGCCATACTGCCCAAGGTAATTTATAGATTTAATGCCATCCCCATCAAGCTACCAATGACTTTCTTCACAGAATTGGAAAAAAACTACTTTAAAGTTCATATGGAACTAAAAAAGAACCTGCATTGCCAAGACAATCCTAAGCCAAAAGAGCAAAGCTGGAGGCATCATGCTGCCTGACTTCAAACTACACTACAAGGCTACAGTAACCAAAACAGCATGATACTGGTACCAAAACAGAGATACAGACCAATGGAACAGAACAGAGCCCTCAGAAATAATACTACACATCTGCAACCATCTGATCTTTGACAAACCTGACAAAAACAAGCAATGGGGAAAGGATTCCCTATTTAATAAATGGTGCTGGGAAAACTGGGTAGCCATATGGAGAAAGCTGAAACTGGATCCCTTCCTTACACCTTACACAAAAATTAATTCAAGATGGATTAAAGACTTAAATGTTAGACCTAAAACCATAAAAACCCCAGAAGAAAACCTAGACAATGCCATTCAGGCCATAGGCATGGGCAAGGACTTTATGTCTAAAACACCAAAAGCAATGGCAACAAAAGCCAAAATTGACAAGTGGGATCTAATTAAACTAAAGAGCTTCTGCACAGCAAAAGAAACTACCATCAGAGTGAACAAGCAACCTACAGAATGGGAGAAAATTTTTGCAATCTACTCATCTGTCAAAGGGCTAATATCCAGAAGCTACAAAGAACTCAGACAAATTTACAAGAAAAAAACAAACAACCCCATCAAAAAGTGGGCAAAGTATATAAACAGACACTTCTCAAAAGAAGACATTCATGCAGCCAACAGACACATGAAAAAATGCTTGTCATCACTGGCCATCAGAGAAATGCAAATCAAAACCACAATGAGATACCATCTCACACCAGTTAGAATGGCGATCATTAGGCCAGGCGCAGTGGCTCACGCCTGAAATCCCAGTACTTTGGGAGGCTGAGGCAGGCGGATCACGAGGTCAGGAGATCGAGACCATCCTGGCTAACATGATGAAACCCTGTCTCTACTAAAAATACAAAAAAATTAGCTGGGCGTGGTGGCAGGTGCCTGTAGTCCCAGCTACTCAGGAGGCTGAGACAGGAGAATGGCATGAACCCAGGAGGCAGAGCTTGCAGTGAGCTGAGATCGTGCTACTCCACTCCAGCCTGGGGACAGAGCGAGACTCCGTCTCAAAAAAAAAGAAAAGAAAAGAAAAAAAGAATGGCGATCATTAAAAAGTCAGGAAACAACAGGTGCTGGAGAGGATGTGGAGAAATACGAACATTTTTACGCTGTTGATGGGACTGTAAACTGGTTCAACCATTGTGGAAGACAGTGTGGCAATTCCTCAAGGATCTAGAACTAGAAATATCTCCCATTTCATTCTTAATTGAACCTATTTGGAGCTCTCTTCTTTTTTTTGGTTAACCTCACTAATGGTCTATTGATTTTGTTTATCTTTTCAAAGAACCACCTTTTGTCTCATTTATCTTCTGTAATTTTTTTTGTTTCAATTTCATTTAGTTCTGCTCTGATCTTTGTTCTTTCATTTCTTCTGCTGGGCTTGGGTTTGCTTTGTTTTTGTTTCTCTAGTTCCTTTAGGTGTGACCTTAGATTGTCTATTTGTGCTCTTTCAGACTTTTCAATGTAGGTATTTAATGCTATGAACTTTCCTCTTAGCACTGCTTTCGTTGTATCCCAGAGTTTTTGGTAGGTTGTATCACTATTATTGTTCAGTTCAAGGAATTTTAATTTCCATCTTGATTTCATTGTTGACCCAGAGATCATTCAGGAGCAGATTATTTAATTTCTATGTATTTGCATGGTTTTAAGGGTTCCTTTTGGAGTCAATTTCCAATTTTATTCTGCTTTGGTCTGAGAGAATCCTTGATATAATTTCAGTTTTCAGAAATTTGTTGAGACTTGTTTTGTGGCCTATTATATGGTCTGTCTTAGAGAATGTTCCATGCACTGATGAATAGAATGTATATCTGCAGTTGTTGGGTAGAATGTTCTGTACATATCTGTTAAGTTTAGTTGCTCTA
Organism: Homo sapiens; assembly: GCF_000001405.40. Lineage (NCBI taxonomy): Eukaryota > Metazoa > Chordata > Mammalia > Primates > Hominidae > Homo > Homo sapiens. The sequence goes on from NC_000011.10 coordinate 36,175,834, forward strand.
GGGTATAGTTTAAGTCCATTGTTACTTTGCTGACTTTCTGTCTTGACTTGTCTAGTGCTATCAGTGGAGTATTGAAGTCCCCCACTATTATTGTGTTGCTGTCTATCTCATTTCTTAGGTCTAGAGGTAATTGTTTTACAAACCTAGGAGCTCCATTGTTAGTACATATATATTTAGAATTGTGATATTTTCCTGTTGGACTAATCCTTTTACCATTATATAATGTCCCTCTTTGTCTTTTTTAACTATTGTTGCTTTAAAGTCTGTTTTGTCTATAGCTACTCCTGCTCGCTTTTGTTGTCCATTTGCATAGACTGTCTTTTTCCACCCCTTTACCTTAAGTTTATGTGAGTCCTTATGTGTTAGGTGAGTCTCTTGAAGACAGCAGATACTTGTCTGCTGTTGGTGAATTCTTATCCATTCTGATATTCTTTCTCTTTTAAGTGGAGTACTTAGGCCATTTACTTTCAATGTTAGTATTGAGATGTGAGGTCCTATTCTGTTCCTCGTGCTAGTTGTTGCCTGAATACCTTGTGGGGTTCTTTTTTTCATTGTGTTACTGTTTTATAGGCCCTGTGGGATTTATGCTTTTTGGAAGTTCTATTTTGGTGTATTTCAAGGTTTTTTTTTTTCAAAATTTAGAACTCCTTTTAGCAGTTGTTGTAAGTGCTGGCTTGGTAGTGGTGAATTGTCTCAGCATTTCTTTGTCTAAAAAAGACTATCTTTCCTTCATTTATGGAGCTTAGTTTCACTGGGTACAGGATTCTTGGCTGATAATTGTTTTGTTTAATCAGGCTAAAGCTAGGACCACTCCCTTCTAGCCTGCAGGGTTTCTGCTGAGAAATCCGCCGTTAATCTGATAGGTTTTCCTTTATAGGTTACCTGATGCTTTTGCCTCACAGCTGTTAAGATTATTTCCTTCATCTTGACTTCAGATAACCTGTTGACTATGTGTCTAGGTGATTATCTTTTTGTGATGAATTTCCCAGGTGTTCTTTGAGCTTCTTCTCTTTCAATGTCTAGGTCTCTAGCAAGGCCAGGGAAGTTTTCCTCAGTTATTCCCTCAAATACGTTTTCCAAAATTCTGGATTTCTCTTCTTACTCAGGAATACCAATTACTCTTAGGTTTGGTGGTTTAACATAATCCCAAACTTCTTGGGGGCTTTGTTCAATTTTTTTTTTCTTTTTTCTTTGTCTTTGTCAGATTGGGTTAATTTGAAAGCCTTGTCTTCGAGCTCTGAAGTTCTTTCCTCTACTTGTTTGATTCTATTGTTGAAAATTTCCAGTTTATTTTGCATTTCTCTGAGTGTGTCTTTTATTTCCAGAAGTTGTAATTGTTTTTCATTGATGATATTTACTTCTAAGGAGACTTTTTTCATTCATATCCTATATTACTTTTTAAATTTCTTTAAATTGGTTTTCACCTTTCTCTGGTGCCTCCATGAGTAGCTAAACAATTGAGCTTCTTAGATCTTTTTCTGGCAGTTTAGTGATTTCTTCTTGATTTGGATCCATTGCTGGTGAGCTAGTGTGATCTTTTGTGGATGATAAAGAACCTTGCTTTGTCATATTACCAGAATTGTTTTTCTGGTTCCTTCTCATTTGGGTAGACTCTGTCAGAGGAAGGATTGGGGGTTCAAGGGCTGCTGTTCAGATTCTTTTGTCCCACAGGGTGGTCCCTTGATGTGGTGCTCTCCCTCTTCCCCTAGGGATGGGGCTTCCTGAGAGCCAGACTGCATGATTGTTATTGCTCTTCTGGGTCTAGCCACCCAGTGGAGCTACTGGACTCCAGGCTGGTGCTAGGGAGTGCCTGCAGAGAGTCAAAGAGTCCTGTAATGTGATCCATCTTCACGTCTCTCAGCCGTGGATACCAGCACCTGCTCAGGTGGAGGTAGCAGGGGAGTGAAGTGGACTCTGTCCTTGGTTGTAATTTTGTATAGTCCGCTGGTTTTCACAAATGCTGCTTGTGCTCCCGATTGGTTGGACTCCAGCAAGGAGGTGATGCTTTCAAGAGAGCATCAGCTGATACAACCTAAGGTCGCCTGGATAAGTATTTGGGTTTCTCAGGCCATAGGCAGTGCCATAGAGCTCCTAAGAGATTATGTCTTTTGTCTGAATTCAGAGTTTTTGTTTTTTGGCTGTCTCATGGAGTTTGCAGTGGCAAGCCACTTCCTTCAAAGATTCTGTGAAATCTTGTGGCTTTCCTGCTGTGTTCCTGTGGTGGTTTTTGGAGCTAAAGTTCACGATGTGAGTTTCTACATGCTGTTCTGTCCTTCTGAGTGGGAGCTGCAAGTTAGTCCTGCCTCCTCACCACCATTTTTCCCTATTTTCAGTTTTTTGATGCTACCACAGTTTTATACCACTTTGTTCTCAATCCCTCAGTCTCATCCTGCAGAAGCCCTTGCCTCCAACTCTATGGAGAAGAATTAAGGCCTCCCAGTGAGAGTTTCTTCAACCTCCTCTCCAGCCCAGGATTTCAGTTTCCCACTGTTCCCCTCCCCGCCGCCAGCCCAACTGCTGAGGGTTCTCTCCTGGAACCTGCCACACTTCTTTGACCTCCATGGTTCATCTGCCCAGTGGTCTTCCCACCTCCTCATTCCGTCGTACGCCAAATCCATCCTACACTCAGTGTCATATTTGTTTTTCTCAGTTGTTACCTCTCCCACTCAAACCCCTTCCAAATGCCCCTTTTGAGTAAGCTCCTCACCATGGCATTCAGAGCCGTGCATTTGAGTCCAGTGGACATATACCCCACCTCTATGCCCCATCAAAACTGGATTGTTGATCATTACCCAAAAAGATCTTGCAGTTTCTCTCCTTCCACTGACCAGCGCTAATTCCCTTCACATGAAATATTCTGTCTCCATCTCCACTTGCTAAAGTTGTTTCCATCCTTCAAGACTCAAATACCACCTACCTGATGAATCATGAGCTGATTTTCACTTCTGTGCCAGAGACCCTCCCATCCCTCCTGCCTTTGAACATCCATAGCATGTAATTTATACTGCTTTTCCATCACTTATGGTGGAGAACTTGTATTCCTGACACTTGCCTACCTTGATTTGTCCACCAATTTGATTGTAAGTGTCTTGAGGTCATAGAAGTAAAAGCATGCCTTGTTACCCAGAGTATGGGCTGTCTGCCTTTGCTATCAGAAGCCGTCCTTAATTGTGAACTGCATTGAATTCTCAACAGAGCAGGACCTGTCTCTGTAATTTAATCTTTTCCCTGACTTGAACAACAATGAAGCAGGGAGACAGAATGCTCTGGCTGACATGGGAATCCCAGGGTGTTCACTAAGTACACATTCTTGTTCTGCATCCCTGGAGATTCCGAATGAAAAGGTAGAGCCCAGATAGGCCAGGTATGGTGGCTCATGCCTGTAATCCCAGCACTTTGAGAGGCTGAGGCGGATGGATCACTTGAGGTCAGGAGTTAGAGACCAGCCTGGCTAACATGGTGAAACCCCATCTCTACTAAAAATACAAAAATTAGCTGGGAGTGGTAGCAGGTGCCTGTAATTCCAGCTACTTGAGAGGCTGAGGTAGGAGAATCACTTGAACCCAGGAGGTGGTGGTTGCAGTGAGCCAAGATTGTGCCACTGCACTCCAGCCTGGGTAACAGAGTGAGACTCTGTCTCAGAAAAAAAAGGTTAGAGCCCAGAAACCTGTATTTTTTACAAGCGTCTCAGCTCAGAAGTTCATTGCTACTAAAACACCTTGTGAGAACCACTGGGGCAGTGGACCAAATAAAGTTGAGTTTGAATCCAGTTCTTCAGTTCCCTAGTTGTGCAGACCTAAGCAGCCTCCTCATCTGTAAAATGGGATAATACTTGCCTTTTTAGGCCACTGCAGGGAGTGAATAAAACAACGGATGTAGCTGAGCTCGGTGGCTCATGCCTATAATTCCAGCACTTTGGGAGGCTGAGGCAGGAGGATGGCTTGAACCCAGGAGTTTGATGCCAGCCTGGGCAACACAGGGAGACCCCCATCTGTACAAAAAAATAAAAAATTAGCCGGACATGGTAGCCTGTGCTTGCCTGTGGTCCTAGCTACTTGGGAGGCTGAGGTCGGAGGCTTGCTTGAACCCAGATCGAGGCCATAGTAAGCCGTGATCACACCACCGCACTCTAGCCTAGACAACAGAGCAAAACCCTGTCTCAAAAAAATAAATAATCAAAACAAACAAAAAACAACATATGTAAAATGGCCAGCCCAACGCACAGATCAGGGTAGATGCTGTGTCAGTTTTCTTCCCAAAGTGCCACATTCAGTTCTGCATCCTGGTTCCAGGGGGTTCCTACCTGCCTCGGTACACTATCATTTTTCCTCATCCTCAGCATTAGTTGAAGGTCTCTTCCATCCTAAGTCAGCAGCTCTTCTTCAGCTGGGATTTGTCTGCCTCTTCACTCTCTTCTGCTTGTGGCCCAGAGGACCTGAGTTGCAGAGGTCACAACTGCTGTGCTGGCTTTCTTAGAACACCTTTCTGTTGGGCCATTTACTCAACATACACTTGTTGAGTGTCTGCCCTGTGGCAGATTCTGTCTTAGAGACTGGTTGTACAGCAGTGAATACAATGAGCCCAAATCCCTGTCTTCATGGACGTATAGTCTAGAGGCACTGTACATGTAGAAGTAAGTAGGAAGGTGCTCAAGGAGGCCTGCGAGGAGAGTGGCGGGAGCTGGGGACAGCTGAAGACAGGAGGCGTGTGCCAGACAGTGAAGCCTTATGAGGCATTGAAGGGACTTTTGCCTCTACTCTGGGTGACACGGAGCGCATGGACAGTTTTGAGTGGAGGAGTACCCTCATGTGGCTCATATTTTGACAGGATCATCTGGCTGCTGTGTTGAGAATAGACTGCAGAGGGTAGTGGTGGACATGAGGAAGCAGATGGGAGACTCTGGCTGTAATAAGGGGTAGGTGGGGGTTGGGGGTGGGGTGCGGATGGTGGCCAAGGCCAGCGTGTGCCAATTGGTGTGGTAAGAACGGTCAGTGCGGGCCATGCTTGGAAAGTAGAGACCATTGGAATTGCTTGTGGATTTGATGTAGAGTGTGAGAGAATCGCTAAGGATGGCACCAAGGTTTTTGGCCTAAAGAAATGGAAGGACGGAGCTACCAGTAACAGAGATGGGGCAGGGGCACACATTGCAGAAAGAACACATCAGGAACTCAGCTAGGGATATATTACCTCCTGAAATTCAGTGTGGCCTTGGGTAGCTGATCTCGGGCAGAGATTGGTGACTCTTGTCCCCGTGTGTGGCTCAATGTTAACTTTTTAACGATCAGATGCTGACCTCTCCCAATAAAATGTATTAACTGCTGGCACCACTTCAAAACTCTGGCTAGTCTTTAAAATAACTAGTTAGCTTTCATTACAAAAGTAATACCTACACATGGTAAAAAAAAAAAAAAAAATCTAAGAATTACAGGACTAAGGTGAAAAAATAAGCCTTCCTCACTACCCCTGCTTATTGTTCTCTGTCTTTTTGCAGCTATTTTTCCACAAATTACTGTGTCCTGAGCCCTGAGCTAATTAAGTGCTGGATAAGCATCACCTCCCAGTAATCCTGTTATCAGCCTTTGAAATGTAGGTAGCTTTATTATCCACATTTTGCAGATGAGGAAACAGAGTCAGGTGAAGTGTCTTTTCCAAGGCCAAGCTCCTGAGGGCAGGGGCTCAAGCTTAGGCCTTCAGACTCCAAAGTCCAGACCGTCCCTGGGAACAAGCACCCTAGGTTTTCACATGGAGCCTCCGAAACGCCTCTGGCATCTCCTGCTGTGGGGTTGGATATGAGCTGTCTTATATAGACCCTACCTAAATTAAATTAAAATCGACTAATTAAATGTGGCCTCTTTGAATACACTGCCGTATTTCTAATTACAGCTTTCCTTCTCTCCTGAGAAGGCAGCCCAACATTGTTTCTGAAAAGGTCCTCAATTACTAATGGTTGGATAACATTTTGAAAATGTAAGTGTCATTAAATTGTTAGTTAGAAGGCCCTGAGTGGGGATGAGAGGATGGAAGTCAGTTGTCAACCGTCTCCTCTCTCTCTCTGTTTCTGTCTCTGTCTCTCACACTTTCTCTCTCTCACTGTTTCTCTCTCTGTAATACACATATGCACATCCTTATCTCACAATTGACCCAAAGCATCAGAAATAAAAAGTCAGACTGAGTGACCTTAGCTGCTAGGAAGCATCTTATTGTGCCTTCCCTCCCTCTCTGACTTTGGCCTTGACACTGATCTGAGCCTGCAGATAACAGAAAGGAGGAGCTTATCTAGACAGGAGTGGTGGAAGTAGCCAGTAACAAATCATTGAAGTGAGGAGAATGAAGGTAAAGAAATTGATCAGCTTTAAATAGGAGGTGACTCCGCATTCCTCTTGCTTGGAAATGATCCCCAGGATGGAATTGTGTCCAGGGTGTGAGGTTGTTTGTGAATCAGTCCTTTCCAGATAGAATATATGAGGCTTGAAACTACATAGTGCTTATCACCAAGAGGTATATAGGTTTGTCAGAGCAAGAAGACCACTCTCCCCTCCACCTGCCCCCGCAAAAAAAAAGAAAGGTAGTATAGAGACTTAGAAAGTAGAGAAATATAGGTAGAAGTACAGTACCTTTGAGTGACCTTCAGAATTCGGTCCTCTTGGCTCAAAATTTTGGCATCATTTCAACAAACTATTTTTTTTCTCTCCTCATTTGATTTCCCCTTCAAGAAGACAGGGAGTGAGTGGGCTCCAATCTTGGCAACGTTGGCTGCTTATTAGAGCATTTGCAGGCCTAGGAGATTTGCTCCTCCTCTTGGTATCTGAAGTTCCACAAGCCCCTTGTTCACTTCCCCTGGAGTAGGGATTGTGGAATGTTGCCACTCACCTTCAGTTCCCTGTTGAAGCTCTTGCAGACCCCTAATAGTGCATGCTACCGTTCTGCAGAGAAGACCATGATGACAAACCACAGACATCCCCCTTCATCTATTGTCTTCTGTGTCTTTGGGAAGGCATTCCTGGAATGACTGGGGGCTGTGTGTCTCAGTTTAATAATGCAAGCTTTTGGTTTTTGTTAAACACATGCAGAGCCTGATATTAAGCATTAAACCAAGGAGCTAGGCTAAGACAGTTGTGTCAAGAAGTTGTTGTCTTTGAAGAAGCACAAGGAATTTAAAGGGATGAGGAAACAAGAAGGGGGCCTATCCAGTTGGGACCACAATACAAAATTGAATTTATCATTTATGAATAATGGCTTCTAGTTTTTGAGTACTTACAGGGTCCCAGGCACTGTAGATGGTGGGACGTAGACGGTGGGATGGTGGGAAGGTGGGAGACCCAGAGAGCTTAAGTGATCCAGCCCTAGACACACGGTGTTAGTTAACTTTTGGGAGACACTTCACAAGCTGGTGTGAATGAAAGAAAAGCAGCATGTACTTTTACAAACCTTAATTTAAGCAAAGGTAATAAATTTCAACCTACTCAAAGCAGAACTAGGGTGTGATTACTTGCTTTGTAAAAGATTTTTTGCTTTGGAAAGTTAGAAATACTGGTTTTCAAAATATGTTTTGATTTTCCTATCTAAACCTCTATTGGATTAAAGTAAAACATGTTGACCATATTACGTGGAGAAATATTGCACACTCTGTCCAGCTATGCTGGATGAAAAGGTTGCAGTCAGTGAAGGGTGAAAAACTTAGTCTAGTTTGGACAAGAAGAAAAAATTAACTTCTGAACTTTACCACCTAGATGTCACTACTCTAATACTTCTCAAAGTATAGATGGACACCACACCTGCTAATATTGCATGTTCCTGGGACTCAACCTAGTCTGAAGAATCAAAAGAGTGGTATTAGAGCCCCAGAATCCATGTTTTAATAAGCTCCAAAGGTGATTCTGCACCATAATTTGAATTTCCTTTAGATCACCTCAATCCATATCTGTTAACCTCTCGTCCATATTTTCTCTTTTTGTGTCTCTTTCTGCTGCGTTCTGAATAATTCTTCTTGAGCTATCATTCAGTTCATTTATTCTTTTTTCATCTGTGTCTAATCTACGGTTAAGTGGGTCCATTGAGTTTTTAATTTTAGCTACAGTATTTTTCACTTCTAGATGTTCTATTTGGTTCTTTTTCCAAATATATTTCATCTTTTTTTTTTTTTTTTTCCCGAGATGGAGTTTCGCTCTTGTTGCCCAGCCTGGAATGCAGTGGCACATCTCGGCTCACCGCAACCTCCACCTTCCGGGTTCAAGTGATTCTCCTGCCTCAGCCTCCCGAGTAGCTGGGATTACAGGCATGCGCTACCACACCCAGCTAATTTTGTATTTTTAATAGAGACAGGGTTTCTCCATGTTGGTCAGTCTGGTCTCAAACTCCCGAGCTCAGGTGATCCACCCACCTTGGCCTCCCAAAGTGCTGGGATTGCAAATGTGAGCCACTGTGTCCAGTCTTCCATCATTTTTTAATAGTTTACTCTTCCCTGCAGATGGACATATTCAAGCTTTGCTTTTATTTCTTAATAATTTACTAATATGTTCATGAAATTTAGTAATATGTTTATGATTAGGTCTGATAATTTTAATATCTGAAGTCTTTACATGTCTATTTCTGATATCTGCTGTTTTTACTGGTCTACTCATGGTATCCTGGATCCTCCAGTACTTAGTATTTTTGACTGTATATTACTCATTGTCTTTGAAAAATTATTTTTGGAAATTCATTGAAGACTGTGATAAAAGATGCCTTTCTCCAGAGAGATTTAGGTTGGCTTCTGACAGGTTCCTAGGAGTACTACCAGTTCAGGACCATTTCAAACCAAGTTTTTGAGGTTCCCTGGACCATCTGAGTAATGCAAGGCCAAGGTATACAATCCATGAGAAGGCCATCCATGGTGAATAAATCCTTCCACATCTCCCTTGTTGAATTTGTTGCAAAGACAGCCTTCTCCACAGTCCTCTGATCTGGAGAAGGTTTATTTCTGGCTCATCCTCACCTTAAAAATTAGCACTTTGGAGTCCAAGCATAACAGAGGGTCTCCTTTAGACTCTCCACTTTGGCCCTGGATCTTGACTTAATGTTCCTCTCAATTTTTGGCAAAACTGAAACTCAAGTTGGTCTAGCTCACCATTGCCCTTGGAAGAAAATTTGCCTCAATTTTCCAGATGCTTACCTTTTCCTTTTTTTTACTTTTTTGATGATATTAAGAATCTTAAAAAATATATTTTACTCTAGAATTAGGTTTTTTCCCCAGTAGGGGAGATGGTTTGCATATATAGCTCGCCATATTACTAGAACTGGAAGTCTCTGCGCTAGAATTATAGAACCATTCCTCTGTTTATTCCAGCCCATGATGTTGGAGAGACAAAACTGAAGCTGTCCTCTGGCCTGTAGTTGGGTAGAATATTTTACTGACCTTTGCCCAGATCTTTCACCTTTGTTCTCCCTAGAGTGTTTCCAGGTATCTCAAATGAGATGGACCAAGTCTTAAAGCACCAGTAACTTTAATGCAATAAAAAGATCAAATAGTACTTTTAGAAGGAGACAAAGGGGATTCCATAAAAGGTAAAAATCTTTAGATGCTGAGAATTTAGGGTATAGGAACCACAGCTGTTCAGATGAACTTGGGCTAGTCTTCCCTGTCACGATCACCATGTGCCTCTAGACAATAAATGCAGTTTGAGGAATGCAGTGGCACAAGATGGCTTGTGTTCACCACTGAGACTGATAAATGAGAGCTGGAAAGAGTGCTCCAGTGTCTGTCATTGAAAAGTGGGGAGATAGCCTGTACCTGGGCTCCCTCACTGTCGAGTTCATTATTCCCTCACATGGATTAATTGGCCTCTCGAGGTGAGATTGCCACTGGTTCTGAAGGATGCCTCTCTTTACCACATTATTGCTCTCCCTTCACTCTGCTTCTGAAAGTCACCCTTGAAAACACACATTCTTCTCTACTGGTGAAGTCTGATTTATCAGCCAACTCCTCAGAGAAGAAATAACAAGATAAAAACCTCTGGCTATAAAGCACTGTTATGCATTATGCTCTGTTGGCTTTATGTCTAGACAGAGCTAAGAGACGCCTTTGTGACCCTAGCAATACCTAGAGATGACTGTATATTTACCTCTTTTTAGAAGAAAGATGGACTTGACATTTTTATATATTAGAGGCCACAGAGGCAAAGAAAGCTCTAGCCAGGGAGACAGGAGGTGACACTTTAAAACCCTGGTCTGCCTGTCCTTCCCTGAATGAGAGAAAGTGTAGTATAGCCTTGCAGATAAAAACAGACCCTGGAGTCACCAACTGCCTGGGTTCCCATTCCTCACACTATCACTTTTTAATTCTATGACCTCGAGCAAGTTACTCACATCTCTGTGCCTGAGTTCCCCATCTATGAAGTGGAAATAATGGTGGTACCTATCTCATGGTGGTGTTATACAGATCAATCATGTAAGGTACTTAGAGTATAATGCTTGACATGTAATAAGCACTCAGTAAATATGAGATATCATGGTTATTATGCTAGCCCAGAGAAACTACGGTATATGCAGTTGCCGGCAATGTCTATAAAATAGTCTTCTCTTGCAGTGAGTCACAGGAGCTAACAGCTCCCATTTTGAAAGGGGAAATTGACAATGGTAGCTGGCTTATTTGAGAGAGTTGGTCCACATCCAAAAATCTTTTCAGGCCAGTACATTCTTGCCAGACTGATTGCATGTGTGGTCTAGGGTTACCATGTTCATTGCCAAGAGACATGTGAGTTACTGAGCTAGGAGAAACCCAAATTAGGAGTACAAGGAATCAGGAGATCTCTGGGAAATGCAGTCAGAAGACTAGATAGCACTACCAGGCAGGTCCAGATTCAGAATTAGTGAGACGGATGGGGTATGAATCCCATACTCACCACCTATTCCTGTGACTGATCGTGGCTGAGTGAGCTCATCTCCTACAGATTCATGCACTTGCATATGGCTATGAGATTTTGTTTAAAATGAGCCCCCCTGTGGGTTACGTGGGCATATGCATTTTTCAGAAGTCATAGCCTGTATACTCAAGATGTGTGCATTTTGCTGTATGGAAATTACACAGTTTTTAAAAAATGAGTTATTCCTCCCCTTAAGTTGATAGTGGAGCTTGCATAAATGTGCAGGTGGTTGCCATGGCCCACAGGGGATCCATTTGTGATTACCAGCTGGGAGGAGATACACCTGCTTGCACGTCTCTAGCAGATGTGTGTGACCTGCCCCCAACTCCTGCTAATTCTGGCCCCTTTCTTAGCCTCTTCTCCTATATCCATCTTTCCTTGGCTTCCTATTACCTTTACTTCTTTTCTCAGATCCTAGGGTTTTTTTTACTCTTTTAATTTACATTTAGTCTTTCCTTTTTTATGATCAGAAGTAACCTATGCATATTATGAGAAAGAGCAAACTGCTTAGAACTATATAAAGTAAAAAGCAAAAGTTGTTTTCAGTTCCCCAGAAGTGACCAGCATGATTTGGTGAAAATGCAACCAGACTTTTCTATATATGCATGTCGTGTATCTATGTGCCTATATAATACAAATATATAGATGTGTAGATAGAAAAATACCTACACATATATAGGGTTATGTTGTTTTATTATAGGAACGGAATCCTACAAAACATCTTTCATGGCACTACATAGAGCACTGCCACCCCATTCTTTTTCAGTGGCTATCATATATCCACTGTTTGGATATATTAACCACTCTTTTTTCCGTATTTCTAACTTTAGTCAAGGTGGACATACAGCTCAGCTGAGAAGCAGACACATTGTGAAATGGACTCCCCCAAAAGAGTTTCATCTGACTTATCCCTTCTCCGCAATAAAATCTTGGATTCTGGGTGTGTTTGTTTTAGATGCTGTGGTACCGGCTGGTTTTAGCAACAAGGACAGTGTTGGTAGGGTGAGAAACACTATCCCAAGTCATATGTCTGTGTGACTACAGGACATTTCTTTTGAATGCCACAAGGATGATTTATATGATTACTGGAGACAAGCCTCTGTCTCCTGAAGACAGGCCAAGATAACGTTAGATTGAATTTCAAGAGATGAAAGTGAGGTTTTTAAGTAATAGCAAAGCCTTGTGTTTCTGTAGTACTTTGTGCTTTTTGAAGTGCTTTCACAGTCATTATCCTGTTTGATCCTACTAAGAACCCTGAAAGTACATAGGTTGGTGGTTTTTATCCTGAGACTACAAATGATACCAAGGATAACGATGAGTAGGAATCAGAGCTAGAATTAACCCCTATTTTCTTACTATTGACCCAGCATGCTTTCTATGTTGAAAAGTGCACCACATCGAGAAGAGATTGGTCACCGCAGCACAGGGCACGCAGAATTCCATTAGTATCACTTACCTGGGAAGTCCAGGTGCCTTCAATAGTTGAGGGGAGTAAATGATATGACTACCTACCTTCAAAACTTGTAGTTTAAAGTGGTAACTTGAATACTCACATTTACCTCTGTTTCCTTCCTCTAAAAGAATGGTTTTTTAAAGGGTAAATCCACAGGGACAAAGAAAAGGAGAGGAAAACCAGCAAAAAAAAAAAAAAAAAAAAAAAAAAAATTGTGGAAGCTGGAGAACAAATGGGTGAGCTATGACTGGATTAGTGAACTCAGAAAATGGAATTCTAAGCTGGCACTCAGGAGAACCAAGAGGCAACCAGATATACTTCCAGAAGGCCTGGGAATTGGCAACTTGAGATAACTCTGGAAACAGAAGAGATGGGCTAAAAATGGGAAGATTAGTTGAAATTTCGTTAGGAAGCTATGACACTTTCATATTCCTTCCCTATGCTACACAGCCTAGCGACTGCCCCTCTCACACCCAGGCAGAAGACTGGAGCTTACTCTCTGCTGAGGGTAGAACAGGTCTCTGGAATACCAGATATGAAGCACAGCTGAGAATGGGGGTCCGTTTCTGAAAACAGGGATTTAGCATAAGTCAACATAATGAACATTGAAACTACTAGCCCTTTTCCTCAAGTCAGGTCCCAGAACACAGCCAGCCAGGCTCATATTCCTTCTAAGCAGGAGTTTATAAAAGTCTTCTTTGGGAAAACTCACCAGTTTAAGAGATTGGATGTCAATGAAGTGGCGCAACTGAATCATCTAATGGTGAAGCCCACAACCAAGAGCTTTTTTTTTTTTTCCATTTTTTAAAATAAAAGCTTTATTAAGACATTCACATAGCATGCTTTCACTCATTGAAATTGTACAATTTGGGTTTTTCATAGAATTTGCAACCATCATCACATTAAACATATTTATAGAATTTGCAACCATCACTGCATTGTCTACTTGCAGAATTTGCAAGCATCATCACTATAAACTTCAGAACATTTTTATCACCTCAAAAAGAAAACCCCTAGGCTGGATGCAGTGGCTCACACCTGTAATCCCAACACTTTGGGAGGCTGAGGTGAGTGAATCACTTGAGGTGAGGAGTTCAAGACCAGCCTGGCCAACATGGTGAAACCCCGTCTCTACTAAAAATACAAAAATTAGCTGGGCGTGGTGGCACACATGTGATCCCAGCTACATGAGAGGCTGAGGCAGGAGAATTGCTTGAACCCGAGAGGCGGAGGTTGCAGTGAGCCGAGATTGTGCCACTGCACTCCAGCTTGGGTGACAGAGCGAGACTCCATCTCAAAAAATGAAGAAGAAAAAAAAAACCCTTGTCCTTTAGCTATCACCCCCTGCACCCCCATCTACACCCTAGGCCTACGTAACCACGAATTTACTTTTTTTTTATTATTATTATACTTTAAGTTCTAGGGTACATGTGCACAACATGCAGGTTTGTTACATATGTATACATGTGCCATGTTGGTGTGCTGCACCCATTAACTCGTCATTTACATTAGGTATATCTCCTAATGCTTTCCCTCCCCCCTTCCCCCACCCCACAACAGGCCCCACTGTGTGATGTTCCATTTCCTGTGTCCAAATGTTCTCATTGTTCAGTTCCCACCTATGAGTGAGAACATGTGGTGTTTGGTTTTTTGTTCTTGCGATAGTTTGCTGAGAATGATGACTTCCAGCTTCATCCATGTCCCTACAAAGGACATGAACTCATCCTTTTTTATGGCTGCATAGTATTCCATGGTGTATATGTGCCACATAGCTTTTTAGTGTCCCACACTTAAAAATGAGTGTCAGCCAAGGATCACCAGACATTTGACACTTGACAGAAACCTTGAATATGAAAGACAGAACACTCACACATCTAGGGGGAGGGGGGAGGGGAGGAGGAGGAGAAAGAGGAGAAAAGCATTTTGGAGGGAAACAGGCTATATCAAGAGAAGGAAACTTAAAACAGAAAAACCTAAAAGATGACTGAAGATACAGAATCCTTGAAATAAAAATAAGATGCCTCCCCTCTTTTAAAGGACTAAACAGGAAAGGACTCATAGAAATTTAACTTGAAAAAGTTGGGATTGTTTAAGGTCAGGAAATCAAGACTAGTGTGGGCAACATAGTGAGACCCCATCTTCACAAACAATTTAAAAAATATATTAGTTGGGTGTGGCGGCACATGCCTGTAGTCCTAGCTACTCAGTTGGCTGAGGTGGGAGGATTGCTTGATCCCAGGAGTTAAAGTCTGCCGTGAGTTATGATTGCACCACTGCATTCCAGCCTGGGCAACAGAGTGAGACCTTGTCTCTAAAAAAACATAATAATGGAAAAAGTTAGGTCATAAATTTGAAGGTATATCCCAGAAGGTAGAAAAACACAAGGAAATTGAAAATAAGAAAAACTGAAGACCGGGTTAGGAGATATATATCCAAATCGTAGGAATTCTAGAGAGAAGAGAGAAAAAAAATGAGAAATTGAAGAAAATGCTCCCTGAACCAAAGAACAGTGGTTTTCAGACAGAAAAGAGCCCACCTAATGCTCAGATTGGTGAATGACAGTAAACCACACCAAACACATCATTATGAAATTTCAGAACATTGGGCAAAAAGAAGATCCTACAAGTTTCTAGAGAGGGCATTACAAAAATAAATACATAAATGAAAGTAAGTGTTTTTACAAAGGTTCAAGAATCAAAATGGTGTCAGTCTTCTCAATAACATTGGACATGAGAAGACAGTTCTGAAACAAATCGTTTCAACTCAAGTTCTGTACTATAAAGACATTTTCAGAAATGATTAAAAAGTTAGTCTCATACAGTCCTTTCAAGAAGCTGCTAATAAATACGGTCTACCAAAACCAAGGGAGTAAACCAAGAAAAAGAAAGACACAGGATATGGGAAATTGGGGATCCAACCTTAGAGAGTGAAAAGGAGCCTCTGGAATGACACTGAAGGGCCATCACAGGGTGGCGGCTGTGTATCAGGCCTGGGAGCCCTTTGTCCAGACAGTGGTGGATCCGAAGGTGTGGGGAGAGATTTCTATAGGAAGAACTTGATAGGCCAAGTAGTATGGTGGCTCACTCAGGCCTGTAATCCCAACACTTTGGGAGGCTGAGGAAAGAGGATCACTTGATGCCAGGAATACAAGACCAGCCTGAACAACATACTGAGACCCCATATCTACAGAAAAATTAAAAATTATTATAGCTGGGCGTGGTGGTGCTCGCTTACAATCCCAGCTACTCCAGAGGCTGAGATTGGAGGATTGCTTGAACCCAGGAGTTTGAGGCTGTGGTGAGCTATGAGCGCGCCACTGCACTCTAGCCTGGGTGACAGAGCAAGACCCTGTCTCTCTCTCTCTCTCTCTCTCTCTCTCTCTCTCTCTCTATATATATATATATATATATATACACACACACACACACACACACACGCACGCACGCACGCACAAAGAAGAAATTGATAGAATACTTAATGTATTTGAATTCGTTGAGAAGAGATTTATGAATCTGGGAAAGACTTTGTGTTTGAATTATTGAGAAATATATGGAATGCTAAACAAATGGGGAGGGGGAAACTTTTGTTTTCCCAGGAAGAAAAGTGTTCAAATCATAGTATACCTGTGTTGTTCATCTGTAGCATTTTCTTGATCAAGATAATAAAAACAGTGATTATCTGTAATTACTGTCTAACTAAGGGGCTTGAAAATGGGCATATGTGTGGCAGTGGCAGAGATGGTAATAAACTAGAACTAAATCCTCACCTTTTAGAGTGGGAAGACAATAGATAATTCCTCAAACTAAAGAATCACAAAGTAGCATACAAGCATGCTATTTAGAGATAAGGCAGTAAGCTTTCAAAAGAGCTAACCAAAATAGTAGAAAATGACTACTTCTGGAAGATGAGGGTCAAAGAATGCGATCGCTTTTATCAAGCCTCTTACAACTATTTGACTCTTTAAATTGTGTGCACATGTTACTTTGATAGAAATAAAAGTGGAATTTCAAGAATGCGCTGGTAGGAACAATTGGTCTGTGACAGTACTTGCACTTTAAACGTGAGCTATCAAACAAAAACCTCTTTCAAGCATCTCTAGCCTCGCAACAGATGATCTGGGCATGCAGAAGACCACTGCACCCCCACTTGTCTCCCAATCTTGGATCCACCTTAATGATGGAAGCACAGATGCTGTGGGAACATTTCAGAAGCCTGTGACCTGACTTTTTTCTCTGCAGGTAACTGCAGGATGAGTGGTTTTTTGAAAAACCCAATTCTGAGCATTTTGGTCTACCACAAACTAGAGGAGAAGGCAGAAGTGCCATCTAAATGGGTTTGGGTCACACACAAAGCATCACAAGGCCGCTTTGTGGGGTAAGTTATAATGCTGCCCTGCTCTTCAAAGCAAAGCCACATGCATATATCTGGCATATGTGCAGGATAAGAATTCATTCTCTTTTTCTCTCACACTCCTAGGCAACCTGGATTAGGTCCAGGGCATGAATTGTGACACCTTCCATTACAAACTCCAAATGCAGAATGTGTTACCGGAGTTGTCTCCCTGGAACCTTTTAGGGTGAATGATGGAGACTCCTTTCCTGAGATGAGATCTTGCCACTTGCTCCCCGGCCAAACCAGCCAAAGCCTCAGGGGCCAAATGCACATGCTCGTGAGTATAGCAATTCAGAGCATGGACTTTGGAGCCAAACTCAACGGAGTTCAAATCTGGACCTTGCTACTTACTAGCTGGGTGCAACTCAGAGGAAGTTACTTCACTTCCCTGATCCTCCATTTTCTCTTCTGTAAAATGGGAATAATAGTAGTGTCTATGTTGTAACATTAAAGAAGACCTAGGATATGCTTTTAGCACCTATCATACATTAGCTATTAACTCAGTATTATATTTGCTGTATCATTGTGGGAAAATCACGGAATCTCTCCGAGCCCCAGTTTCCTCATCTGTAAAATGGGGGTAATGCTGCATCCTCGAGAGTGTTGGGAACATTCTGTGAGCCAATGTATACAAATTGCTTAGCCCAAAATATGGCAACTAGTGAGAGCTCAATTCATGAAGGTGATTATTACTTTCCTGCCTTTTCCTTTCCACAGCTTCTCTCCTAATTCAGGCCTACTTTCCTTTTGTCTGGCCACCAAAATAGCTTATCTGGCCACCCTGAGTCTCTCTCCCTCTTTCTGCTGTAGCTCATCCTGCATACAGTCGCCAGAACAATTTTACATCAACACGGCTTTTATCACTTCCCACACCTGCTGAGGAGCCCACTGCGGTTAGAAGATCGAAACACCCCAGCCTGTTATTTAAAGCTTTGCACGCTGAGATGTGTGCTTTGCATCTTTTCTGTCCAGCCAGTCACCTTATTCCTCATCTACCTTTGTGCCTACTGCCTCTGTGTGCTAGATGTTGTCGCATGCCCCTCCCAGCTCTCCTGTTAAGAGCACCACTTAGTTTTAATAATTGATTTGAAATGAAACCCACTTCTTTCAAAAATTCGCCCTGACACCTTTACCCTCCTCATTCCTTTATGCCTTGTCTTAGCAGCCTTTGGGGCTATAGCCAGCACTGGTCTCATGCAGCTTTGAGTAAATTTCCTTGTCCTGAAAAGCCACCGAGTGTAGTGGAAAGGGCTTGAGGCTTTGGAGGTCTGACAGATTTGGATTCAGATCTTAGCTCTGCCACTTACTAGCTGAGACATCTTGGGAATGTTATTTTACTTCTCAATGTTCTCACCAAATAGGAATTTATAAACTGGGAATACTGTCATTATTCCCAGTTTACAAATGGGGACATTGAGAGGTGAGATAACACATGAGATTATTATTACATAAAGTTCTTAGTATCACATCTGGCATTTAGCTGCTTACATATTACAGTTCCCTTCCCCTTGTTGTTTCATTTGTGCATGGTTTTTTGCTTTGCCAGAATACAGGCTCCTTAGGTGCAGGGCCCGGATGTTTTGTCTGTGTACCTTAGCCCCCTGAGTTGGTATATGCTAGGTGGTGCTTTGGTAACTTACAGGCCCAAGTCTCAGCAGTTTCAAACAATAGAGGTTTGTTTCCCACTTGCTTTGTAGGTCCATGATGGATTAGTAGGGCAGGCGTCTCTCATCTTAGTTACCCAGGGAGCTAGGCCACTCACATTTCACTGGCCAAAGCCCATCACCTAGCCAGATCAGAACTTCTAAGGGGCCAGGGAAGTGTAATCCTATTGTGTATCTGGAAGGAGAGAAATTCAGGAACATTTTCAACCACCTAGTGACCACCATATCCTCCAGGTCCTATCTCAGGTTTCCTGTGTGGAGATGTCTGTTGGCAAGCCTGGTGCCACCACTGGGCATATGGTTTACTCCCAGGACTTGGAGTCTTGGTGATTAGATACAGTCCTATTCTCCATGGGTTCATGGTTGCCCAACTGTAATTCACAATCTCTGCCAGAAACCCAGTGTGAATCCACTTGTCTTAGAACTCAACCATACCCCTACCAGTAAGGACACAATGAAGACAATAGCTTTGTCCCATCTGAAAAAATAAGCAATGTTCAGGGATTCCCAGTTCTCTAAAACTCTGTCATCCTTGACTCATTCATTCAGTCCACAATACTAGATTTGTGGAGATTTGCTGTGTGTCAAGCACAATTTTATTTACAACAATACGGTGATACTAAGACAGATGTGGTCCCTGCCTGTTCAGACCTGACAATTAGGCGGAGAAGGCAGTAGTCTAAAATAATTAACAGAATGGGCTCTGGAGTCAGACAGCTCATCACTGGGCTTGCATTTCTTCCAATCAACCTTGGGAAAGTTCCTAAACCTCTCTGTACCTCAGTCTTACCATGTGCAAAGTGGGAGTGAGGACCATACTTCTGTTATAGAGCTTTTTAAAAGAGGAAATGAGGTTGGTAATCCATATAGAACATTTCATAAAGACATCAGCTTCTAGAAAGCCCTTGGTAAATGTTAGCCACGGCTGCTATCATCATCTTCATCATCATCATTACCATCATTAGTAGTAACAGTAGGAGTATTTAGGATGAATAGTGGTAGGATGAGGAAGATGTTGAGCCAGCAGGGAAAGTTGTGCATTTTTCTAGAAGCATAGAAGCATCGTACTATGTTGGCATTGCACATAAGTCCATGAAAACCTATTTCTTATGGACCAGAAGCACACTGTGAACACCACCATTCTAGTTACACCTAACCACTGTTTATAACATTGTGCAGGGTCCAGCTCATCCCCTGTTATTGGCCATTTATGTTGTTCCAACTGATTCTCTGTTGTTGGCCCCTGAAGTCCCACCGTCTAATTCCTTTTGAACATTCAAGTAGCTTTTCATGATTAAGGCTCAGAGTATAGAAAGAACAGCTGAATAGGAATTGAACATTTTAAAATAGGGAGAAAGGACTCATAATTCTAAAAGCCAGACTAAAGGGCTGCAAAACAGCCCTTCGATGCATCAGACTTGTGCCTGTGTATATTTGTTCATGGCCTGACTTTGAGTCACTGTTCTTAAGGAAAAATATATTCTAAATCCCTCTGTGGCTCCCCTCCTCAGTCACCCAAGACACTTGACCCAGCAGTGACATGGTGAATTTGGCATTGAAGCAGGAAAGACAGGAGAGCCAGAGACATGCCACTGTTAATTCCCCATATGTGCATAAAATTCAGATACCTCTGGGTCTATATTTACTTGTGTTTAGCATCTGCACGTAAAGAAAGGGAAGTTACCCCCTGCTACCTCCCATCAGTCAAGCATCACCTGATTCAAGGACATACTAAGCCACAGTCAGCCCATCCCAACTTTTTGCCAAAATGCCTACCCCAAAAGACAAAAAAAAAAAAAAGCATACCCCATCCAAAAAGCTGGCCTAATTAAATCCTGACAGACTGCTGCTCTATTTCACAGCTGCCTAGTAGCTGGGTCTGTTTCTGAGCTCTGGCAGGAATAGGATACATCTGGCTTTACTGAGTTATCTAATATCTTTGGCATGAGCCAGAAAATGGTGGAAATGGTAGAAAATGTGTTCTTTTCTTACTCTAAGACACAAGGGAGTTGGAAAAAGCACACTTTTTTCCTCCACATTTAAAAATGACTAGAAGGTGAGAGAGAAAGAGAGAAAGCTCACCTGCAGCCCGTGAAGTCACGCTTTTGCATTCCGTTTGTAGGACAAGTTGTCAGTGTGCGATGATTTCCATAGGCTTTGAAATGGGGTAGCAGTTTAAACATATCAAATGCTTAATGAAGTGAGGCCCCATCTCATCGGTATTCAGTGTGGCACTAACATTACATACGCTAATCCTGAAACAATAAGCTATAAGGAGAGCCTCGCTTTCTGGGTTTGAAATGAATGGAGCAGTCTGAATTCTTCCAGTTTTATCTCCTGCTTTAACCTGGAATGATGCCAGCATGTTGGGTTTTACCCTGGAGAATTCATATCATGTGAAAAACTTAAATCAGGTCTGTCTGCTGGTACACGCAGTCCTAATCCGTTAAATATTTCTAGCTAACAATGCACGTGGGGCTCTTCAGCTCTGCATACAGTCATGTTCTGCTAAGTCCATGCAAATATAACCACTTCTGCCTGCTTTTTTGAGGGAGGGATCAGTAATGCCTACATGGTTTTACCCAAATCCCTCATGCGACATACAAGGCTCTTGGCATATCTTAACCCTGGTGGTAGCTCCCTATCCATTCTCTAGGACCTGGCTCTCTTACTGTGAGCTTGGGAAGGTTTCAAATGAGAGATTGCTTCACTTTCATTGGTCATTTAAAAGGAACCACAACTCTTGACTTTATCAAGTTATAGAAACTTGAGCCCAGAGTCCCGGCTGTAGAATGTCTAAAGAGAATGCCACTGAACCCCATCATTCCCTACGCCCTTCTGCATTCAGAAAAATTAAAAACATTAGGACTTGTGTGAACCATGTATGGGGCATTTTTCTTCAGAGTCAAGCACTGCTGTCTGAAAAAGAACACTTCTTTCCAGAAAACTCTGTTTTTTCAGAACGACCTCTTTCATTCTGCTGCCTCATTCCCAGAGGAGTGATTTTGTATTTCCCCTCATCCAAACACGGAGATGACTTTTTCAGGATTGTAAAAAGGAATGTGTGATCAATCTTTTATTTAATACATATTTATGAGGTGCCTCTGTGTGTGAAGTTAAGTGCTGGGTAAAAGGGCAGTGTAGCATCACAGTCGCAAGCATGGATTCGAGAGTCCAACTGCCCGGGTTGATAACTGTGTGAGGTTGTGCTGGGTACACAGTCTTTCTGTGCTGTGGTTTCCCCTTCAGGAAAATGGGGCTGTTGACCATACTGACCTCATAACGAAGTCCTTGGGGTCTGACACCTAGCAGGTACTAAGCAAGTGTTAGCTGCCACTGCTGCCATTTCTGCTCCTGCTGCTCTGCTGTTGATCTCATTACTGTTACCTTCATCTTTACTATTATTAGGTGCTGGGAACAAAGTTGTCCACCAAAACAAAGCGAAACTATACCCACCATGGTTCCTGTCCTTATGGAGCACCAAGTTTCCTGAGGGAGGCATACACTGAATAAAAGACTATAGACCAGGTATAGTGGCTCATGCTTGTAATCCCAACGCTTTTGGAAGCTAAGCAGGAGGATGGCTTGAGGCCAGCTGTTCAAGACCAGCCTGGGCAACAGAGCAAGTCCCCATGTCTTAAAAAAAAAAAAAAAGAAATTAACTGGGCGTGGTGGCACACACCTGTAGTCCCAGCTACTCAGGAGGCTGAGGCAAGAGGATTGCTCCATCCCAGAAGTTCAAGGCTGCAGTGAGCTATGTTTGTACTGCTGCACCCCAGCCTGGGCAACAGAGGGAGACCCTGTCTCTAAAAAATACCAAACAAACAGAAGATTGTAGTAAATGTATAACTCTAGCATGTGCTATGATGAAAGAGAGATAACTAGATTTAGGTGAACATGAATAAGGGGATCTGTCATAAGCATGAAGGTCATCAAATGCTTTTCTGAAGAGCAGATGATTGACCTGAGATGAAGGAGAGGTCTTAATTCAATACAAGATCATTAACTCAGAAAATATAGAAAAATAATACCCCCTTTCACATTGCATATAATTTATCCATCCAATCATAGCCATTATTAACATTTTGCTATATATAGCCCTCTACACCTTCTTTATGAATGGTTAGAAATACACACACACACACACACTTTCTCATCAACATAAATGGCATCCTGCTCTCGTAAAAGATATACTGTCCACTAATGTGCTGTCTTTACCAAGCAGCATGCTGAGGATACCTTTCTGTGTCAGCCAGCAGGACCAACATCCTGAGAGCCAAGAGCCACTGCAGACCTTCCAGCTCAGTTCCGTGCCTGGTTTGCTTCCCCCCCATCCCACTCCTGCCTCTGCATGAAGCAGGGTGGTTCTGCTTCTAGAGCCAGCCTTCTTCACTCTCACCTGACAGCTCTTGGCACACACCTAGCTCTGGACTTCCATCTATTTGCAAGGCTACCTCCTGGCACCTGCTTAGAGCCTCCAGGTACCTTACAGTGTATTCTCCTGATGTGCAAATTGGATCCAGAGGCTTTATGGCTGTGTCTGAACACTTCATTTAGGTTTGTGATCAACATCAACATTTATGGGCTTATCTGGAATGAAAGCCTCTGTTTACACATTTGGAGGAAAAATGTATCCACAGGCACAGCACCTTATTTCTTGTTTTGTTTTTTTTTGGAGATGGAGTCTCACTCTGTCGCCCAGGCTGGAATGGAATGGCGCGATCTTGGCTCACTGCAAGCTCCGCCTCCGGGGTTCACCCCATTCTCCTGCCTCAGCCTCCCAAGTAGCTGGGACTACAGGCGCCTGCCACCTCGCCCGGCTAATTTTTTATATTTTTAGTAGAGACGGGGTTTCACCTTATTAGCCAGGATGGTCTTGATCTCCTAACCTCGTGATCCGCCCACCTTGGCCTACCAAAGAGCTGGGATTACAGGCGTGAGCCACTGCGCCCGGCCACAGCACCTTATTTCTTAAAATACCTTTCATATTCCTGGAGCCAGAGCACTAAAGGATCCTGTTAAAGAATTTGCTCCTAGGGTCTTAAGAGACTCCCGAATCTTAGGAGCCTCTTAGAGGATGGATTGTTTCTTCTGAAATTGTTGAAGGCTCAGATCACAAAAGTCACCTTTATAGAAGATACTTCTATGGGCTTAAAAAGAAATCAATTTCTTTGTGCTATGTTAATTTGCTTTCCACCTCTTTCTCCTCCTCATCTACTCAATACAAGTTGATTCATTCATCTCCTCTGTGGTACGATCGAAGACATCTCTCAATGAGGGTCCCTGTTATATAATGTTAGGAGTAGCAGGAAGCTGTGGTTCTACACACACACACACACACACACGCACGCACGCGTGCGCGCACACGCTTTCTGGCTCATTCCAGGTGGATTGACAGCCGCTGCTTAGCATGTCACAGGCCTCAACCTTCTAACAGTAGCCCGTCCAGCTTCCTTTGTGTCATAAAGAGTTGTCTTCTCCCTCTTGAGTTGATTTTTCTCTTATATTTTCCTTTATATTCTCACAGCTTAACCCTGAGTCAGTCCAAAATGAATAAAGTGAGTAACCAAGGTCATCTAATAAAACTGTGGAATGATCTCACAGTCTGCTTAGGCTGCCATAACAAAATACCATAGACTGGAGCCAGGTGTGGTGGCTCATGCCTGTAATCTCAGCACTTTAGGAGGCTGAGGTGGGCAGATCTCTTGAGGTCAGGAGTTCAAGAACAGGCCGGCCAACATGGTGAAACCCCATCTCTACTAAAAATACAAAAATTAGCTGGGTGTGGTGGCATGCACCTGTAGTCCTAGCTACTTGGGAGTCTGAGGCAGGAGAATCACTTGAACCAGAAAGGCGGATGTGTAGTGAGCCAAGATCGTGCCACTGCATTTCAGCCTGGGTGACACAGCAAGACTCCATCTAAAAAAAATAATAAATTAAAAATTAAAAAAACAGACCAGGTGGCTTAAACAACAGAAATTTTCAGTTTTGGAGGCTGAAAGTCCAAGATCAAGGCCCGCCAATTCAGTTCCTAGTAAGGGCCCTCCTGGCTTATAGACAGCCAGCTTTTCATGGCGTCCTCCTCAGCACGCACTCCGGTGTTCCCTCTTCACTGGGGCGCTAATCCTAGCATGGGGGTCCCACTCTCAGGACCTCATTACTCCCTAACCTCCCAAAGGCTTCATCTTAACCACCATCACACTGGGGGTTAGGACCTCAACATATGAATTGAGGGGGATACATACATTCAGTCCATAACAATCCGTTTTCAGGACTCAGGGTCAAGAAAGGCATGGCCAAGATACCACAGCTGGCAAAAGCTAAAATCTGAACTGCCAAGATGGCAGGCCATCAGGAAAAGGATGGAGAGGCAACATGGTGATGGGGTGGGGGAAGACAGTGTTGGCACCAAATGCCTGCTCTGCCACTTGCTGGCTGTGTGAACTTAGGAGCATACTTAATTTCTCTGAACTTGCCTTTCCTTCTCTCTCAAAGTGGGGCCGATGGTGCTCAACCCATGGGCTTGCAGTAAGTGTTCTTCTATCAATCAGCCAGTCAAGAAATAATGATAGATTTATATGTCAGGAACTCTTAGGTGATGAAATTAAATGAAACTCTTGCTTATGCTGAAAGCTCAGTGCAGGACATGGTAGACACATGATCAATGTCTCCTTCCTGGTCCCACGCAGAAGGGATCCCCAAAACAGGATTAGTGGGAGTAACTCAAATAAAAGACCTGATGGGAACAGAGTGCAGTAACAGAGGGGGAGAAAGAAATGTTTTCTGTTGGTTTGCTGAGCATGAAAGTGAAGTTTCTTGCATGCCAGATTGCAGTTGGGTCCTGAAAATGGGGACCAGTAGAGTTATTTGAAGGTAGAAGTGTGATGGAGTGACAATGGAAACCACATGCTGGTCTTCTTTGAAGGCTGGAGATGTAATTTCTGAAGGACAACATGATAAACCAGCAACCAGAAGACAGCTGGACCACTGACAGCCCTCCCCACTCAATACAAGTCTTTGTTGCTGTATGGTAGAAAAAATAGAGATGTGAGTTCTGAGACATTTATGGGACTGGCCTTTTATTATAGCTTGACAAGTACAACACTGCACTCAAGTTAGAAGTAATCACATCACATTTTTAGTGCCCATTGTAAGTCTGAAAAACCAGATTTGCCATAATGCCTGGTAGTGGGATTTTTTTGTTGTGGGTTTTTGTGGGGTTTTTTGTATCTTTTAAATTAATTTTCAATTAAGTTTTGAAAGGACAAAGTGTAAAATTAACTAACTTGCAATTAATTTCAACAGTCATTATGCAAAAATTCTAGGCATGTGAAAGATGGGGAGCACGGAATAATTAGGCGTGGATTTTTTCACTTCCATAATTACAACGATGAATATGCATGAAACCATTTGGGAAAGGAACACACAGCAAGCAATTGTATTTAATTAAACTTCTAGCTGGCTTAGCCAGGCAAGCCTGCCTTGTGTTGTGTTGTAGTCTCCTCAAACTATTAGCAAAGTCTTTCCAAACAAATAGTACCCCAAAATATAAAAGAGGCAGTTGCTGGAAAGGAGGCAGTCGCGGATGTGGTTTTTCTCAACTCTTCCTTTAATTTTCAGATTTCTAGCTTCCTTGGACCTTAGGCATAGCATGCATCATTGTCCAGGTGTGACCTGAACAGCAATACCTTGGAATAGATTTTTATGGCAAATAAGCACAGCTCAGCCTTATGCAAATGCCACTTTGTTTCATTTCCACCTTGTGTCAAAGACCCCTCCTTGGGTACTTCCTGGGGACATCTTTTTTTTTTTTTTTTTAAGACGGAGTTTCACTCTTCTCGCCTAGGCTGTAGTGCAATGGCAGGATCTCAGCCCACTGCAACCTCCACCTCCCAGGTTCAAGCAATTCTGCCTCAGCCTCCGGAGTAGCCAGAATAAAAGGTGTGCACCACCACGCCCAGCTAATTTTTGTATTTTTAGTAGAGAAGGCTACTATGTTGGCCATGCTGGTCTCAAACTCCTGACCTCAGGTGATCCACCCGCCTCAGCCTCCCAAAGTGCTGGTATTACAGGTGTGAGCCACTGCGCCTGGCAGGGGACATCTTTATCTATAATGCAGGATGTAGGAATTGGACTATAGCAGGAATACCCAATAATAATAGTAACAGCACCTCTCACGGTTGAGCCATTCCTACAGGCCAGAGATGCTGACCACTTGACATGCATCTTTCATCTTCCTAGTCACCGAAGTTTGAGACTTGAGGAACTTGTTCAGAGTCACTTGCGTAGCAAATGGCAGAGGGAGATTTGAACCACAGATCCTGAGATCTGTGTGCTGTGTGCCACTCATTCACTATCATTTTTCTCCAACTTGAGAAAAAGAAGGAAATTATTGTAAGTCCCCACTTTTCATTTTTCTTCAACTTGAGAAAAAGAAGGAAATTATTATAAGTCCCCAGTTTAGGCTGTAGATGGAATTCATGCATCTCCCTTGTTTTTCCAAGGTCACCTTCATACTACAGATAGATGTCCCAGGGGCACCTAAGTCAGTAAAGTCAGACCCTGACAGGGAGCTAGGAAGAAGGACACGGCAGAGGGGGATGTGATGGTGGCACTGGCAGCAGCAGCTGCAAATATTTAATGACCCCTTAGACTGTTTGCCAGGCACTGTGCTACATACTTATTTAATTATGTGTTTTTATTTGTCTTAAGAGACAGAGTCTTGCTCTGTCGCCCAGGCTGGAGTGCAATGGTGCCGTCATAGCACACTGTGACCTCAAACTCCTGGGCTCAAGCGATCCTCCCTCCTTAGCCTCCTGAGTAGCTAGGTTTACAGGAGCATGCCACCATGCCCAGCAAATTTTTAAATTTTTTATAGAGACAGTGTCTCACTGTGTTGCCCAGGCTGGAGTACGGTAGTGCAATCATAGTTCACCGTGACCTTGAACTCTTGGCCTCAAGCGATCCTCCCATCTCAGCCTCCAAAAGTGCTGAGATTACAGGTGTGAGCCCCCGCGTCCAGCCCTGTGCTACATACTTTATAACGACCATGTCTGATCTTCACAAACACCTCATGAGATGCATGCTCTTATCCTTCATTTTACAGATGAGGAAAACAGGCTCAGGAGTTTAAGTAACTTGCCACAGTTGCAAAGCCAATAAATCGTAGAGCCAGGATTCAGACATGGGTCTGTCAGCCTCCAGAGTCTGTGGTCTGTGTTGGATGTCAGTGCATCATCGTCTCAACTCCTTTTTAATGTCCATGGGCACCCATCCAACAGGTAGGAAAACCTGGCCCAACAAAGGCAGTCTTTAATTTTGCTCACTGGTGGTAAGAGCCGGAGTGCGAGTGTTGGACATCTTGGAAAATTTCCCCAGGCGGCACATGAGATGATATTTGGATACTTGCAAAGAACTTTCTAGAATCTCCACAGCAAAGAGTTAAAGAAGTGTAGATTGTCCCTCACTGTAATGATTACGGGGTCTTGTTTTTATTTAACATGGAGCACTTTGTCTGAGCTTCTCATTTCCAAATGCATAACCCCAGAAGGCTTCTCCACCCTTGCCCCTTCACTGTTAGGTCACAACATCTCAGCTAGTGACTTTCTTTGGTTTGGGAAGCACACTTTTTGAGGTCAGCTGTTACTTTCTGGAATAGTGTGTGATTTCTGAAGGCAGTTACAGCTCACCAGAGGGGCCAGGATGGGCCCCAGTGAATGCTGGTTCCACGGCACTTTTCCAATTCTCATTAAGCACAATGGCTTTTAGTTTAAAAAAAAAAAAATCCATCACAGACGTACATACCAGACTGCCATTAGCTGACCCGGGGAGAACCTTTTGCCAAGTGAAGCAATTTCCTTCTTCTGTAGTTAAAGCAATTTGGGGGCTGAATGTATTTATGGGCAAACTTGGTGAAGTGAGACAGAAGCATTTTACAATGTGCATGTCAGAGGAAAATCGGAGGCTCTGGGCAGAACATCCTGGGTATCCCCTTGTCATAAATATGGCATAGCAAGGGGGTCAGGTCCAAGCCATCTCTTCCTGCTATATCCGGGGCAGCATAAAGAGACCAGGAAACTGAGGTACAAAGAAGGTAAGTAGTTGGCCCAAAGTGGAAAAACGAGCCAACCAGTGGCCAAACAGTTCCAGGCTTGGTCCTTCTTCTCCTCCCATGTCCCTCCTACACTTAGACAACTCGTGCTCTTCTTTGGCATGTTGGGTTTTTCTTGATGTCATTGGAGTTTCTCTCTCTTTCTTTTTTTTTTTTTTGAGATGAAGTCTTGCTCTTGTCATCCAGGTTGGAGTGCAATGGCTGCTCATTGCAACCTCCACCTCCCGGGTTTAAGCGATTCTGCTGCCTCAGCCTCCTGAGTAGCTGAGATTACAGGCACCCACCACCACGCCCTGCTAATTTTTTGTATTTTTAGTAGAGACAGGGTTTCACTATGTTGGCCAGGCTGGTCTTGAACTCCTGACTTCAGGTAATCCACCTGCCTCGGCTTCCCAGAGTGCTGGGATTACAGGCGTGAGCCACAGTGCCGGCCTGGAGTTTCTTCTTTAATGGTTTCAGTTTTCCTCTGGTTCTTAAGTTTGCAAAGTTTTCCTAAGCTATCATTTCAGTATTTGGACATTCCTGTCTCCTGCCAGACAGTCACTTGGGTTGTCACATTGGCACTTGTTCTGCAGAAGTCCCTTGAGCACCTATGACAACAGGCTGGAGCCGCCTATTCTTGCCCCCGCCCTAATGCACAGCCCCCATCTTCCCCTCAGGTTCCCAGGTTCTTCCTCCTCTTCATTTATAAGTGACTTGAAACTAAGAGGAAACTAAGATTTATAGTTTCCAAGCTCAGCTGGGACTCCAGCGCCATGTTCTGTTCATTTTGGTTTTGCCTTATTCTTAATGGTAACAGAAACCTACGAATTTAGGACAGATTAAGGCAACAAAGCCATTCTGTGTTCTCCGTGGGGCCGGGGGATTCCTGCCTTTAGCTGAGCTTACCCCACATTTGACTGTCATCATTATGAATGCCCCAAGGCAGCTTACAGCTTTCTCTTCCTAGAGGAAAAGCCCAGTATTGTGGCTCTTTTCGTGCTCCCCTCTGCGTCTTGAAAAGTGAATTCCAAGGAGTAGGACAGTCACCGGCTTCACACAGCCCTGTCATTGTCTTGGTGTCCCTGATGAAGGGCTGTTGAAGGACTTTTATCCACAGAGAGAATTGATAATGGTGGAGATGCCACAGATGACAGTATCTTTAGCTGAAGGTGTGAAGTTGAGGGATGTAAGCAGAAGGAAGCAAGAAGGTCCACAGCATCTCCTGTTATTCCCCCAAAGTCTTTACAGATCAAAAAAGGGTTTAAGAGCTGTTGTCTGCCATCAAGCAAGATGCCTCAGAATAGCTCCATTTGGGGCCTGTGCTGCTGAGACCACAAGGGAAGTTTGTAATTATGACTGATTATGGGTTTTTCTCCTCGGAAGCCAATGAAAAAATACAATTAGCTGAGTCTCCCTTTATCTCCCTCATTTGTGTGTTCAATTAGTGCAATTGGACATAGATACTGTTACAAGAGGAGCTTTGCCGGCAATGATAGGGTGGCCAGCAAATGCTCAGAAGCGATGAGTAGAATATTAATTGACATGAATCTTGTTTATGCTCCTGCCTGGAAGTTCCTGCTCCCTGGGTCTCCAGTACAGATTTTCCGTTGGTGTTAACAGCGGTGTCTCCTTGTTGCTCTGGGTGGAAGTATCACCAGAAGAAGCACTTGATGTATGAAAATAGCAGAATTAAGCTAGAGGCCCTCAACTTTTGGTCTGGAGTTATTTCTTATTTCTTCTCAACTTAGAAATTCAAAAATTGGAGAGGAAAATCATGAAGAGTCGAGAAAATTACATCCTTGTTAGAGAAGCAAACATTCATTCTTGAAATATCGAGTGGTGATAATAATGCTTCTAAGAGTTAATACTGTATGCGGTAGGTGCTGGGGCTGCCTGTTGGTCCTGAACCCATCATTTAAGGCTTATTACTACATATTAGCTTTACAGATATTTTAGAATACTAATATATATGTGCAAGGCTGAGCTAAGTGCTTAGCAGTGAGAGGGATGGGTTATAAACATGACTGAGAGGAGAATCCAGCCCTTGACAAGTTTAATGTTTGCTTTACGGAAGACTAGCTATGTCCGTAACTCTACAACGTGGGAGAGAGTAAGATGTGCCATGACATGGGTCAGGTAAAGCACAGTGGGAGGCAGAGGCAGAGCGTGGTTATTTCTAGTTAGGGAACTCAGGGGAGAAGTCAAGGAGAAAGTGGCTTAGTGGCCATTTGAATCTTGAAGGCTGGCCAGATGTGAACAGGAGGTCATGTTGGCCAAGAGAGCATCAGGCTCTTATACGAGGTCAAGAGAGCGTCAGTCCTAGGAAGGAAGCACCTCTAGAATGATTTACCTGTACAGCCCTGTCACTAGCAAGACTTGTTGATTTTACTTTTTTTTTTTTTTTTTTTGAGATGGAGTCCTGCTCTGTCACCCAGGCTAGAGTACAGTAGTGCGATCTTGGCTCACTTCAACCTCTGCCTCCTGGGTTCAAGCAATTCTCCTGCCTCAGCCTCACGAGTAGCTGGATTACAGGCGCCCCCGCCACCAAGCCCGGGTAATTTCTGTATTTTTAGTAGAGACGGGTTTTCACCATGTTGGCCAGGCTGGTCTCAAACTCTTGACCTCGTGATACACCCACCTTGGCCTCCCAAAGTGCTGGGATTACAGGCATGAACCACTGCACCCGACCCTGATTCTACTTTTTGTACACGAGTTTCTCTGGCTTAAGATCTCTCATGTGATTGCACTTCTTCTGTCTGCTGGAACTGTGGTCTCATCTGAAGTTTCAACTAGGGGGTTTCCGTTCCTTGTGGGTTGCTGGAATGAGAGCCTCAGTCCCTCACTGGCTATCTGTTTGCTGGAGGCCTCCCTCTGTTCCTGGGCACGTGGACTTCTCCATAGGGCAGCTCACATCATGGTTCTTAGAGCAAGCAAACGAGAAAATGATCAAGAGCAGGTAGCTAAGATGGAACGGAAACCACAGTCCTTTGATAACCTGGTATTGGAAGTGACATCTTATTTCCATCATCTTTCATTAATTAGAAATGAGAAATGGCTGGGTGTGGTTTTTCCCACCTATAAACCCAACACTTTGGGAAACAGAGGGAGTTCAAGATCAGCCTGGGCAGCATAAGGAGACCCTGTCTCTAAAAATAATTTTTAAAATTAGCCGGCATGGTGGCATGCACCTGGGGTCCCAGCTACTCAGGAGGCTGAGGCAGGAGGATCACCTAAGGCTGGAAGGCTGAAGCTGCAGTAAGCCATGATTGTGCCACTGCACTCCAGCCTGGGTGTTGGAGTGTGAAGGGCTATTGAAGGGCTTGTATCCACAGTGAGATCATGTCTCAAAAAAAAAAGTGAGAAATAAGTCCAACCACAACTCACGGGAAAGGGATCACAAAAGGGCATGAATCTCAAAAGGCAGGCATTGGAGGAGCTGCCTCAGAGGTTGTCCACCACACTGGGGAAGGGAATAGAACATCTGGAGCGAGGGCAGAGAGAGAACACGGGGGCTGCTCAGAGAGGGCCTCCTAGGTCTTTGTAAATGCTTAGGTTTTACTTTAACAACTGCTTATGTATGAAACAGCCCACCTACGAGGATTTTTATCATAAAAGATTATAATAGAAAAGTTTGGAAATAGATAGATCCTGGTTATAAATAAATCATTTCTACATCTCCACAAATGGCACACTCACTGTGCAGCTATTAAGAAGAGTTAGAGTTGATTCTAGGCCTGGGGCTGGGAAATACAAGATGAGCCCGAAGCATCTTCTCCCAGAAAGTAAACAAGTAGCCCCCAAACCAAACAACAAAAAAATAAGAACATGGAGGTGCATTGAAAGGATGCGGGAGCCAACCTGAAAGTGTTCCCCGTGGCCAAAGGTGAAACAACCTGAGCAACAAAATAAATAATAATGCCTTTGTTTTGTGCTGGTGTGACAAAATACCTGAGACTGAATCATCTATAAAGAACAGAAATTTGTTTCACACAGTTCTGGAGCCTGGGAAGTTCAAGATCAAGGCGCGAGCAGGTTCAGCCATCTAGCGAGGGCTGCTCTCTGCTTCTAAGATACTACCCTATTGCTGCATCCTCTAGCGATGACAATCACTGTGTCCCCAGGTGGCCGAAGGGCAGCTAGCCAAACATTGCATGATGCCCCTTCCGTAAGTGCCCCAATCCCATTCCTGAGGAGAGAGCCTTCCTGGCCTGATCGCCCTTAAATGCCTCACCCTTCAGTACCATTACATTGGCAGTACTTGTATTTTGGAGGGAACCCATTCAAATAATATTGGGTTTTATAACTCAGAGAGTAGCTTAAATAACAAGTCCATCTGAAGTAAATAAATAATTAATAAATAAATTGGAGAAAGCAAATCTTCCTTATAGAAAAATTGTAATTATTGAAATGTAGAAGGAATCAAGGAAATAGGGGGGAAAAAACACCATGAGAACAACACAGTAATATTTGCTGCAGGCAGCAGGCAAAGTCCATGATGAATGCTAAAATTAGTGGGTGAAAGTTTAAGCAGAAACAGGATATTTGCATAGTTTCAAAGAATCTCCCCCAAAATATTTATTGACTACAAAGACAGAAATAGTAACTTTGCAGTGAAGAATCCTGGCAGATAAAGTGATCAAAGTTAACATCATCAGTGAATGCATTTCAGGTATCCCCTGATGGGATACACTGAATATGCTCTGATACTCTTTTCAATAATATATATTCTCACAATTGTGAAACTACATCAGAAAAACCCAAATTGAGGGACATTCTACAAAATAACTTCTCGATCCTCTTCACAGTATTAAAGTCATGAAGAACAAGGAAAGACTGAGAAACTGTCACCGATTAGAGGAGATCAATGCCATGTGGGATCCTGGCAAAATTTGAATCAATTCTATTAACTTAGTTAATACAGTTGTTCCAAGGTTAACTCAGTTTTAGCAGTTGTTCTGTGGTTAGGAAAGGGATCATCACTAGGGGAACCTAGATGAAGGATTTGCAGAAACTGTACTTTTTTTTTTTTTTTTTTTTTTTTGAGACTGAGTCTCGCTCTGTCACCCAGGCTGGAGTGCAATGGTGTGATCTCGGCTCACTGCAACCTTCGCCTCCCGGGTTCAAGCAATTCTCTTGCCTCAGCCTCCTGAGTAGCTGGGATTACAGGCGCATGCCAGCATGCCTGGCTAATTTTTGTATTTTTAGTAGAGACAGGGTTTCACCATGTTGGTCAGGCTGGTCTCGAACTACTGACCTCGTGATCCACCTGCCTCGGCCTCCCAAAGTGCTGGGATTACAGGTGTGAACCACCATGCCTGGCCAAACTGTACTATTTTTGCAACTCTTGTGTATGTCTAAACTTATCTCCAAATAAAAAATTAAATTTTAAAAAAGGAGAACCTAGCATATAGAAAGTGCTGTATAGGTATTTATTAAATAGACAAAATGGTAATTGGTTAAAAGTATGTATTGATGTGCTTAATTAAGTAAAAAAATCAGGGTGTAACCATGCATGTTAAAACCATAGATATGTGCTAATATATGCCTGTACTATTCCTGGAAGGCTTCACAAAAAAGAAACTGAACAAAATAAATGGGTGCCAAGGGTTGCCTCTGGGGAGGGGAAGCCCATGGCTAGGAGAGAGATACATGAAACAGACTTATTTTTGTCTGCAAATCCTTTCTTACTTTTTGAATTTTGAATCATGCATATTTTGCCTATTCAAAAAATATATTTTAAATAATCTTAGCCATGGTAATCCTGAGGTTCCCAGAGCTCCCCATCCATTCCCCAATAACTCATGCCCCATAACAGTGGCTCAGAATCTTCTGGCACCCTGGCTGGCCCTTAGTAGGTGCTAGGAAATGTAGGATGAATGAGTGAATTCATTCTGCTGCCTGCCCTCCGTGGGATTCATCTTTGTATCACATCAGACGGTGTAGGTCCTTTTATTCCTCTTCCTAAGGAGGCCAGCTTGGGCCCTCTGTTGGCAACAGAAGACTTTGATTTCTTCACTTTCTTGTTTTAAACACAGCCCCATTAATGTTTAAAATGCTTGTCTGAGCTCTCCAGTCTGTCTTAGGTGTTTCGAGGGCTTTCAACAGGGATTCTAAAGCGGCCCAGGGATACTTGGTTATTATTTCCTCTTTATAGAATTGAATGAGTAACTTTGAATCCTCCACAGCCCGAGACCCTGTAGTTATTCATCTATTATGGAACAACCGGGTTCAGTGACCCACTGCCCAGGAGGCCCACTGGTGTTGGAATAGAGCCTCCAGCACCTTGTCTTAAAGAACATTCAAATGCTCCACCAAGACTTCATTTCAAGAAGTATAAATATGAGACATCCAAGTACCTCTCAGAAGACAGGATTGCACAGGCAGGCAGTATTGCTCAACCACCCAGGGAGGTGGTGGTGGCAAGAACAGATAGATTTTTAACTGTTCAGGTATTTCATAGCCAAGATTGAGACCAAGTTTGCCATTTCCTGTAGGAACATTTCAGTAGCTTACTTCTACAGATAACAAAAAGCAAAAGAGCTAATGGAGGGATAGCGGGAGAGGGGTGTGCTTGATTTCTTCCTTGATTTCTTCATTTCTCCATTTATTTTCTACAGCAGTTATAGTTACCTCATGCTGATTGCCGCATTTTGTGTATTAGAGTAACTTCCCAAAGAGACTATAAGCTGAATAAAAGCTGTGCATCTCTAAGCTCATGGTTCATTGTAGTATTGGTCTCCTCAAGGAATTAACATTAGCCCTTCTTGGGTCAGTTTGTATTTTAGGCTTGATGGGCCCTAGAGTCACTGTCTCAACTATGCAACTCTGCCATTGTAGCATGAAAGCAGCCATAGATGATACATAATGAATGGGAATGGCTGTGTACCAATAAAACTTTATCTATGAAAGCAGACAGTAGGCTGGACTGACCCCTGAGCTAGAACACAGGATGCTAACAGGCAGGTTGTAGAAGAGCCAAGGGCCTCTTGTAGAGATCATATGTCTAAACCATTGCTAGGAGTTTGTATTTCCAGTACAGTGAGCAATGCTTGGTGGGAATATAAAGCAGGAAACATACCATGGTCTTATTTATTTCCTAAAACGAGCTTTGTAGGTGCTGTGTGGAAAATGGATTGGAGAGGGGCAAGATCAGAAATTGGGAGACCAAGTAGAGGTTCACATGGTAATCCATGCAACAGATGATGGTAACTTGTCCCATATTATGGAAGCAGAATCAGCAGGACCTGCCCCTGAGTTGGACATGAATGGAAAAGGAAAGGAAGGAACCAGGTTTAACACTGAGGCCTGCAGCTCCAGTGACTGCCTGGGGTCCCTGGCCCAGGATTGTAATTGCTATTTAATGATGATACTTGCTTTCCCAACTCCCACAAGTGAGGTTTTATTTGCAACAATGGCCTGCCTGAAGTAGATTTTTCTCTCTCCAGTTTTTAGGGTTTGCTTTTCCCTGCAATGCTATTTGTGTGTGATTACACCACACTCACAAACTGATCAAAGCATCTCCGCTCCCTGCATCCTGCTTGAGTTAGCAGTATTCGCTCTGGCTGCTGACTCGGCAGGCTCAATAAACTATTGTATTGTAATTGGCCAAGCCTTATTACTGGACCAGAAACCAACTGACCATTGAGTTCAAAGAATGTCTGCTAAGCATTTAATTTTGCGGCTTCCACCAAACACTACAGGTAAATAGCTACAGTAAGCAATAGAAATAGTAGTTCTTTAGAGCCTTCCTTATTCAGCAAATTCCAGAGGCATGGATAGTCATTTCCAGATGTGGCCTGCAGGAGCAGCCCAGGATATCATATATAGGAATCTGGATCTGGCGAAGCCACTCGATGCAGAGGAGGCAGATGCCTCAGAGGTTTCCCTTTGGATGGGTAGAATGATTAGATTGATCCCGGTGCAGGTGCATGAGCTCATTACCAAGTCCCACCCCCTTCCCGTGCTGTCTCTCATTGGCTTCTGCTGCTTTTGTGGCCTGCAGTAGGAGAGGTAGCAAAGAACTCCTACCCCTCATTTTCACTGCATTCTTCTGTTGACATTTCTGAAGCAATGACACAATTGAGCAGAGTTCTAAAAAGGCCACCTGGGCCCTAGCTCCCAATTACCCTCTCACTGAGTTTTAGTGGCAATCTGAATTCCTACTTAAAAAATGCCATTGCACTCTAGCCTGGGCAACAGAGTGAGACCCTGTCTCAAAAAAAAAAAAAAGCCCTTTTCTATCTTAAACAGCCAATTAAATGCCTTACCCTCCAACCAGTTCTGCAACTGCCCTGAGTCTGTGTCTTAGCAAAGAGGCCATTAGCCACCCGACTCCCTGGCTTATCACTGGGCCCTTCCTCATCAGACACAGAGATCAAATTCTGAGGGTGTACAGCAGCTCTTAGCAGGCTTCAAAGAGCTCTGGGACTGCTGGGGGCTTTCCTCCATTCTAAGAAACTCTCTGGGGTGAACAGCTTAGAAATTAGGGGCCATTGATACCAGTTGGCTGTTCAGTAGCACTTATTGAAAGGATGGAATGCAGCTTTCAGGGAGACTCCCTGCTCCCATTTGCCCAAAGGATGGCAGTGGTTAGGCAGATAGAAAACCTCTGCAGTCTTTTGGAATAAGAATGACTGAAAATTTCCAGGGAAGTGTCTACTTCATTCGGTCTTCAGTTTAGAACTTTCTTCTCTCTCTGTCTCTCTCTCCCCCACCCCTCTCTTTCTCTCCCCCTCGCTCCCTCCCTCTCTCCCTCCCTGTTCCTCTTCCACTCCCCCTCCCCTTGCTTTCCCTCCCTCTCATTTTGAATTTAATCCTCGGGCACTTGTCTCCCAGCTCTCAATGGTCCTGGTTCCCAGCATCCTGGCAGATGGGTCTCCTCTCTCATTTCCCTCTGGCTTGGGGCCAGGATGGCCCCTGCTGTGGCCGGTCTGAGGTTGCGCAGCTCCAGTTTTCCCATCACCCTCTTTTCAGTTAATTTTAGCAACTTGAGTTGCCATGGTAATGGTTCAGCGGGGTTTTCATGGCTCTCTTTTGATTCAGTCATTTGCTGGTCTGCCCTTTAAATTAAACTTTTTCAATCCGCATCTAAATTGGGATGGGTGATGTGCTTGGAATAGGGATCCGCAAAGGCGCTCCAGCCCCATGGGATGCTTTTTTTAGACAGGAAAGTCAGGGTGGATGTGGGGATGCCCTTGGTTTACAGTGGCCCAGACAATCCCTTGATGCTTCCAGGCTTGAGAAAGTGTGGCTGCCACTGTGGCAGAGGCCATGGTAGGAGGCATGCAGGAGTGAAATGGGACCCCCAGGGCCGCTCCCACCCTGGGAGTGCCATTGGGGTCAGGCCTGCTCCCCGCACCTGAGCACAGGGCCCAGCCAGGATCTGGGCTCTCCAAGTGGACGAATGAATTGTGGACCCAGCCAGACTCCCCTCCATCGCATCACAGCTTGGAGGCTCTGTGCCCCTGTGAATCCCAACTGTTCTCCCTGCCTCCCTCTCAGCAGCGTTTTCTCTTCTCTGCCATTCAGCACTCCCAAGGCCCGTTTTAATCTAGTGTGAAGGGTCAGACTCTTCGTCCAGGTAAAAGGAAACTACAGAAGCAAGCTCACAGTCGCTTCACTCGGCTCAAATTTAAAACAGTCTTCAGTGTTCATCTAAACTTTGTGGCAGGTACAAGTTGTTCATCCTGATTTTACAGTCCCAATTTTAATCCCGCTGTCCCTTCATTAAATGCTTTCAGTTGCCTCTTTTAAACCAGAAGGCTGTGGGGCCCAGCGTTGACAGGATTTAGGCACTAGTCAGGCAAGTTGTTCTAGGCGTGGCTGGCTAGAGAAGGAGGCAGTGAGAGAGAGGAGAGTGGGGAGAAAGTGGGGGTGAAGAGCTTTGACCTTCATGATGAGGGCGTGGGACTTGACCCTTGGCAAATAAGAAGTCCTGGAAGGGCTGTGAGTGGGGGCAGACCCAGGTCCAGTCTGCAGGGTTGGCCTGGAGTGACTATGTCAAGGCACCATCTTGGCCACTTTGGGAGAGGAGTCTGCCTGCACTGGCCCCACACTTTTGGTCCTGCGAGTTGGTGGATCTCTAGATGATTCTGGGAAAGGGTTACATTGATCCCACCTCATTTGTGAGAAGGAAGATTCTAGAAGGATGAGACTGTTTTTGTACAGTGAACATGTGTTTTCTCTATAAATCTTGAGCTCAGCCAGTGCCCATCAATAACAGTGTGAATATTTCAGCCACAAGGGTGGTTTTCCCTTCCCCAAAACAGATCACCGGGAAAACTGGTTGAGTGGGACCTGCCCTCATACCATGTGTCATCTCTGGGTGTTGGCCAGACAGACCTGGGCTCGTGTCTCAGCTCAATCACTTCCTGGCTGTGTGACCTGGGGCAAATGACCTCACTTCTCTCAGTCTTCTTTTTCTCACCTGTGAGGCTGAATGGAATGATGGCCATGAAGGCATGGAGTCTCATAGGAAAGATGCACAAGCCAAGACTTCACAGGGCCACAGAGTTAGAGACACTCTGCCGGCTTCTCCCAGCAAATTTTTACTATTTGGAGCTTTGGGGATTCAGGGATGAGCAAGCAGAATTCAGTTCTGCCCTCAGGGAGTTCTATTCCAGTAGGAAAGAGAGACAATTAAATACAAATAGAATGTACAATGACAGGCAGTAACAGTGCTGTGAAGGTAGACGAGGTGGGTGGGGGGATGGAGAGTGATGTCGGTGGGCCAGAAAGGAGTAGAGTCTTGAATGGAATTGTGAGTGATGCGGATGCCCTGGAAGGTCGTGCTAAGCAGACGGCAAGGGCCCTGTAGCAGGTGCATGCTGGGTGTGTTCCAGAACCACATCAAGGAGGCCAACGGGTCTGCAGCAGCAGCCAGGGAGGAGCAGGAGTGGAAGTCAGAGTAGCAACGGGGATGAGATTATTCAGGGCCTGGAGGCCATGTTAAGGACTTTGGACTTTATTCTGAGTACATGAGAAGCCACTGGAAGGTTTTGAGCTGAGGAGTGACATGAACAGATGAATGTTTTTAGAAGGAGCACCCTGCAGCCATGTGGAAAAGACACTACGGGGAGCCAGAGTGGAGGCAGGTGGAAGGGACAGTGGCTGGGAACAGGGAGATTATGAAGCACAGGCACCAGGACTGGGGATTGGTTGAGGCTGGTGTGCAGAGTCCCGTTTGGCATCGGATATGTCTTGTGCTCCCCTTTCGGGCATGCTCATCCTGCCTGCACTGGGACTGGAGCCCAAGAGCCCAGTGTCTGGAGAACAAGAACCCAGTGTGTGCAAAACGAACAGCCCTGCCCTCCAAGATGCTGGAGCTTGTTGGGTCAGGGTCGTTGTGTTCAGATCTGAAATCTCAAGAAGCCATGAATTTGTTCATGGTGGATAAAGCTCCCCCTTGGGAGCCCTGCTTACAGTGATTCTGTATCAGCCCGTTCCCCTAAATTACTCAGAAAGTTTTCTGCACTCTGAAGCTCCAAGTGTGCACACTCAGCATTTCCCCGGGTAATAAAGTTTCACAGGCAGGAGTAGCACCGATGAACTGATTATGCAAGGGGCCGTGACAAACTCGCAGATCCCAAGAACAGAACCAGGGCAGCCTTTGGACTCCTTGTGAATTTCTGCAGCATCAGCTCCTGCATGCTCAGTTCTTGACAAATGTAAGACGCGGCAGAGTGTCATACAGCCCCCACAGTGGCATCTCTCACTTCATGCTCAGGAGCTGCTCCCAGTGCTTGGCCATCAGTGATGATGATGCCGAACCTTAACTGATGTGGCCTGGGACCTGGGCCTCACTGTATCACGAGAAGAGAGGATGGGGCTAAGATAGTTGTCTCTCAGCTTCATCTTCTTCCATCGGCAGCTGCAACCCAGAGCTTCCTCCAACAGCCTGCCCAAAGGCCAGGGATTCCCCTTTCTGATTTGTGAGAAGATATCTTCTAGAATGTTGGGAATGCACATATTTGGAATATGGTGTATGTTCTGTCCATCTCAGCCTAGCACTGAGGTTGAGGAAATAATCACATCCTTTCATGAAGAGTCACAGTGGACATTTGCCTAGTAAAGGCTCTGACAAGTCTTGTAATAATAGCTATTGATAATAACTAAAAGTTTTGTCAAATGCTACTTTGTGCCAGACACCACTTTAAACATTTCTATACATATTTTCCCTTTTTATCCAAAAAATAACCCTAGGGGGTGGGTTCTATTATCCCATTTTAAAGGTGAGGATTTTGAGACACAGAGAGGCAAAGTAACTTTTCCTAGTCCATACAGCTAGTGAGTGACACGGCTGAGGTTTGAATCTAGACAGTTTGATCTCTGTACCTTCCCTCCAAACAGCTACAAAAAAGGAGGGGGGAAGGGGTTTAACTTGTCTAATCCAGTCGTTGTCACACCTGTTTGACCAAGGTACTCTTTTTCATGAAATACCTCTTGCCATCCCACAGAAGACACTTCCAGTATATTGATCAGACTCTAAGATTGAGTATTCATTGAAGTTACTGGAAAGGGACCCCATTGCAAGAACAGTACAGTGAGGTGACAGATGTTCAGGATAAATGGGACAGAGGAGAGGAGGGAGCAGAGAGAAGTATTCAGGATAGCGCAATGGATTCTGACTTCAGACTCCTGCACCCAAAGACTAGTTGTACCACTTGTTTGCTCTATGACCTTCTGTAAGTTACTTAACCTCTCTGTTAATAAAATGGCACACTTCACAGGATTGTTGTAAAGAAGAAGGGAAATTGTGTATATCAAAGGAAGAGTAGAAGAAAGAGGTTCAGTGCTCACTGCTCAGCATCTAGGTTATCCTCATTTTCTTCTTGAAATGTTTGCTTTCCTGTAGTTTTGACTCTGTCTGTAAGTGAAGAAATTGTGAATTACCATGTTGACATGTTTCAGAGTTAGTTTACCAATATCAAAAAACACTGTGGAGTACCTGTTGTATTTCCCAGATTGTGGTGAGCCCTGAGTGGGGTTCCAAGAAGGAGCAAGCCTGGTCTTTGCCCACCGAGAACTTAATGGTAAGATAGCCACATATGTAAAATGAAATAAAGCTTTGGGCTAAGAGTACAGATGCTGGAACTAGACTTCCTGGGTTCCTCTTGGTTTCTCTACTAGCTAGCTCTGATAATAGCTATTAATAATTCCTCAGGTATAGGGAGTATTTGGGCAAGTTCCTTAACCTGTGTTCCCATTTCCTCACCTGTGAAACGGTCTACTTCATAGGAGGGTGTATTCGTTTGCTAGGGCTGCCATAACAAATGACCACAAACTTGGCTTTGAAACAACAGAAATTTATTCTCTCACAGTTCTGGAGGCCAGAAGTGCAAATTGAAGGTACTGGCAGGGTTTGTTCTTTCTGGAGGCTCTGAGGGAGAGTCTGTTCCATGCCTCATTCCTAGCTTCTGGGGCCGCTGGCAATTCTTGGTGTTCCTTGGCTTGGTTGGGGCTGCATGATTCCAGTTTCTGCCTTCAACTTCGCATGGCCTTTGCCCTTGTCTGTTTCTGTGTCATCTCCTTCTCTGTCTCTCATAAAGACACTCATCATTGGATCTAAAGCTCTCTCTAATTCAGAATGAGCTCATCTTGAAACTCTTACCTTAATTATATCTGCAAAGACCCTTTTTCCAAATAAGGTCACATTCTGAGGTTCTGGGTGGACATACCTTTGGAGGGACACTACTCAACTCAATACAGATGGTGCAAGGATTAAAAGTGTTAGAATGTGTAAAACACATCAGATATTAATGAGAATAGGGTAAGAGCTGCCAGGATAATTATGGTGATGATATTATGTTTACTCTTGTTTTTGAGTTCAAAGTAAATATGCATGGTGGTGATGGTTGTTAGTATTATTAGTATCATTATTTAGTTCAAATCAGGAATGAGGACATGTCACAAGGCAAATGGTGTTCCTCATTCCAACTCTGGACTTTTCCCCATGCCCTTCTGGGGGTTGATGCTGGGAAATTAATCACAGGGAACAGTGCTGTCTGTGAACGACAGGCCAAACAGGGTGATGTGAGCCACTGAGGTTCCTTGATCTGAAGAATTCTACAAGAATTACACAGCAACACAGTCCTGGGTAATGTTCAGACTTGTGGGAGTATTGCAAAAAGACTAGAGTCCGAAGAGGCTACAGGTGGCAAGACTCTCACGGAGGTTTTCTTCCTGGCCTGGGCCTGGATGTGGCCATGAGAATGGACGTGAGGTTAAGAGGCTGGAGAAACACAGCACAGTAGAAATTGACCATACTTGGTTGCTTGATGTGGACAGAGAAAAAGGAGAATGTTCAAGACAACCCCAAGTTTTCAAACCTGGCAGACCAGATGGCCAGGTAAACATCCAGCATCTAGGAATTCATCCAAAGAAATAATTGCATCAGTGACCAAAGATCACTGGCCCCTCCCCTCATGACCCTCACTGTCTGCCTGAATGGTATTGTAGCATTGTTTGTAATAGCAAAAATGGGGAGCAACCTAAAGGTACTTCAATAGAGGTTTGGCTAAATAAACTGTAGTTTATCTCTATAGTGGGATACTATGTGGCTGTTCTTTCACAAAGGTGTGGGAGCCAAGGAAAGATGCCCACATGCTGAAGTATCCATATAACATGAAGAAAAGTACGTGTGTGTACAAGCATAGGGAGCAGTTTTCAAAGATCTATGCTGTGGGTAGACAGCAAACTATGGCCAGTGGGCCAAATCTGACCTGCTACCTGTTTTTGTAAATAAAGTTTGTCTGGGACACGGCCACATTCATTCATTGACATATTGTCCATGACAGCTTTTATCTACTTGTGTAGCTCACAAAGCATAAAATATTTACTATCTGGTCCTTGACAGTAAAAGTTTGCCAGCTCATGGTCTATACCAAACTGTAAACCATGTCTAGTAGAATCCTAATAGGTTTAGGGGAGAGGAGGGGACATTTTGTCTGCCTTGAATATTTCTATATTATTTTTTTTTAAATAATGAACATGGATTTTTATAATCAGAAATAAAGTTCATTTTGGAAGGGGGAAAAAGGCGTGCAAGACACACTACCTCATTTCGAGACTTAACTATAAAGCTGTAGTTAACAACACCCTTATTGGCATAAAGATAGTTGTATAGCTCAATCATACAAAATAGATAGTCTAAGAATAGACTCAGACTTGTATGGTCAATTGATTTTCAACAAAGGTGCCAAGGTAATTCAATAAGAGAGGATAGGCTTTTCAACAAATGGTGTTAGAAAAATTGGAAAGCTAAATGGGGAGATGAAAAGAACCTTGACCTTTACCTTGCACCATAAACAAAAATTAATTTGCTGTGGATCATAGACATAAATGTAGAAGCTAAAGCTATAAGACTTCTTCTAAACAATGATTTAGGGGAAGATTCCTTGAATCGAATATAGAAAAACACAAACCATTAAGAAGGAATTGATGCAAATGACTATATAAAAATTTGTTTTGAAACGTTTTCTTCATTGACTAGTCTTAAAAAAGAAAATACCAAAAAGCTCTTTTTAAGACACTGTAAAGAAAATGAAAAGATAAGCCATAGACTAGGAGAAAATATTTGCAAAACACATTTGTGATAAAATACTATGTCACAGAACATATAAAATGCTCTTACTATCCAATAATAATGTCAAACCAATTTAAAAATGGGCAAAAGATTTGAATAAACACTTCATTAAAGAAGATAAGCTGTGGCAAATCAGTACATGAACAGATGCTCACATCATTAGTCATTAGGAAATGCTAATTAAAACCTCAATAAGAGGTTTTAAGTGGTATCAATAAGATACCACTAAATACCTATTAAGATGGCTAAAATTAAAAAGACTGGTATTACTAAGTGCTGGTGAGGACACAGGATGACTGACAGTTTCATACATTGCTGCTGGTGGGGATGGGAAATGCTATAGCAACTTTGGAGAACAGTGGGACAATTTCTTCTAAAGTTAAACATATGCTTCCCATATGACCCAGAAATCTCTCAGCCCTATGTATGCCCAAGAAATATGAAAATATATGTTAGCACAAAGACCAGCATTCCTGAAACTGGGAACAGCCCAGTACCCTCCCTCATCTGGGGAATCAAATTGTGATACATCCATGCAACTGAATACTACTCAGGGACAAAAAGGAATGAAATATTAACACTCAAAGAAACATGGATGAATCTCAAAAGCAGTGTGCTGAGTGAAAGAAGTCAGATGGAATAGAATATAAAAAACACAAACCATTAAGAAAGAATTGATGCAAAGGACTATGTAAAAATTTGTTTTTACATACTGTAGGATACTGCATACTGTAGGATTCCACTTATATGGCTTTCCGGAAAAAAGTGAATCTATTTGGACAGAAAACAGACCCCTGGTTTCCAGAGGCTTGGAATGAGGGGAGAAGATTGACCACAAGAAGCACAAAATACCTTTCGTGGGGATGGAAAGGGTCTATATCTTGATTGTGGAAGAGG
This sequence comes from Homo sapiens, assembly GCF_000001405.40. NCBI lineage: Eukaryota > Metazoa > Chordata > Mammalia > Primates > Hominidae > Homo > Homo sapiens. Next base: position 36,220,817 of record NC_000011.10, read on the forward strand.
ACATGTGACTGTTTCATTTTGTCAGAATTCATCTAATGGCACATTTTTAAAGGGCAAATTTTATTATGCCTAAGGTGTACCTCAATAAATCTAACTTTTAAAATATATAATCTGGAGGAAGAACAAACTGAAAAAAAATACTTCTAAAAAAATTGCAAGGTAGGAGTTTTTCAAAGGGATGAGGAAGAGTCAGTTTGAAGGGCAATGAATATTCCAGAACAGGAATTCTGGACTTAGGAGGTCAGGCTGGGCCAGGCACGGTGGCTCACACCTGTAGTCCCAGCACTTTGGGATGCTGAGGTGGGTGGATCACTTGAGGTCAGGAGTTCAAGACTGGCCTGGCCATCATAGTGAAACCCCATCTCTACTAAGTATATAAAATTAGCCAGGCATGGTGGGTGTCATGCGCTTATAATCCCAGTTACTCGTGAGGCTGAGGCAGGAGAATCACTTGAACCCAGGAGGTGGAGGTTGCAGTGAGCCAAGATCGTGCAGTAGCCAAGATTGTGCCACTGCACTCCAGCCTGGGAGACAGAGTGAGACTCCATCTCAAAAAAAAAAAAGAGGTCAGGCTGGAGGCATTGGAAGCTGTCCTCAGGGACTCATGAGTCAGTAAGGGGTCTCCAAGTGAGCATGAAACAGTGAGGCCTGAACCCCAAGAAGCACCTACAGGGAGAGAAGGACAGGAAACAATAAAGGAACTGAGCCAGGTGCAGTGGCACATGCTGCAATCCCAGCTACTCAGAGGCTTAGGTGGCAGGATCGCTTGAGCCTAAGAGTTCAAGACCAGCCTGGGCAGCATAGCAAGACCTTATGTCTAAAAATAAAAATAAAGAAACTGAGATGCACCATCAGCCTGGGCAAGTCTTAAAGGAAGAAGACAGAGTGCTTATTTTTTTAATAGATAATACAGAACAAATGCTACAAAGTAGGAAGGAGTAAACAATAAAAAGTAAATCTCCCTCTCCACAAGCATCTATTCCCCTTCCTGGAAGCTCCCAGTGTTACTGGTTATATTGTGTCTTTCCAGATATATTCTATACATTCTCTACTGAACTTTGCTTTTTTCCCCTTATTTATATATCCTTCTCATGGTTCCATATCAGTATATGTAGAGGTTCCCTAATTTTAAAAATAGGTACAAGATTGTACGGATACACCATAATTTATTTAGCCAGGCTGCAACTGATAAACATTTGGATTGTTTCTGATATATCTTGCTGTTATGAACCATGCTTTCATGAATGCTCATTTTGTTTGTTGGTTTTTTAGAGACAGGGTCTCGCTCTGTCACTCAGGCTGGAGCATAGTGGCATGGTCATAGCTCGCTGCAGCCTCAAACTCCTGGGTTCAAGAGATCTTCCTTCTTAGCCTCCTGAGTAGCTGGGACTACAGGCACATGCCACTACGCCCAGCTAATTTACTAAATTATTACATTTTTATTTTTTGCAGAGACAGGGTCTCCCTATGTTGCCCAGGCTGGTCTCGAGCTCCTGGACTCAAGCCATCCCCCCTACTTTCACCTCCCAAAGAGCTGGGTTTACAGATATGAGTCACCATGCCTGGCCAATCTCAAAGAATATGCACATTTTTATATTAATATATATTATTAGCTCCTCCACCACCCTGGGTTGGTACTGACTTACCCTCCCACTAGCCATGCCTGCATATATACCAGGCACGAATATACCTGTTTGCCTGAGACCTGGCCAGCAGTATATGAGCTCAAACTTTGCTTCTGCCAATCTGATAGGCGAAAAATGGTATCCGGTAGGAAATTTAATTTGCATCTGGAGGAGGGGATTTTTTTGGAAGTGAAAGAACACCAAGTCACAAGTGTCAGCTGCTTGAGTGCCTTTGCTGGTCCAGACAGCACCTCTGAGTGAATTAGTTAAAGGTACTCCTCCTCAAGACACTTGGCTGCCATCTGCTAGAAGGCTGTCGTGATAACTAAACAAATATGTAATGACTTTGAGGTGAAGAGCACCCCTGGAGTTGTACAAAACACAGCCTGCTTCTCCACAGGCAGCTGTGGAGCTACTGGCAGTCTTGATAGAACAGCAGTTTCTAGGTAGTGACCAGATTGCCTGGAATTAGTACAGTCGAAGCGGCACGTACAGGACAAGAATTCAAGATGCTTGACAGTGGAGCACAAGGGCATTAGCTTGAGGGACAGCCAGAATAAATGGAAACTTCATTATCCATGGATTATGCACTTGGAACTTAGGTCCTAGGCAACTCTGATATTAGTAATTTGGCCAGCAGGCTCATTAAGCTCTTAAGAAAAGTGGGCCTAGTTAATGAATTAACACAAGATGACATTTTACACACAGCAAAAACGAGAGCAGGCACCACTGAGTTATGCAACATCATAATTTCTCAGGCAAATGTGATCGCTGCGTCTCGCCTGCCAAAGTGAAGAGAGGTCTGAAGAGAGCCTGCTTTCGGAGACATAAGTGAGCCCATTAAGTTCCACAGGCATTTTATATCCCATGCATTTTAAAGGGCTCCCACTTGTATTCTTAAAACCTCACGTGTTTACACAGAAGTCAGCGTTTTAAAATCTCTGGACCATTTGTTTTCTGTGTGACAGTTTACCCACTTTCCTCCTTTAAGAAATACATTTCACTGGCCAGGAGTGGTGACTCACGCCTGTAATCCCAACACTTTGGAAGGCAGAGATGGATAGATTACTTGAGCCCAGGAGTTCAAGACCAGCCTGGGCAACATAGGGAGACTCCGTCTTTACAAAATATGCAAACATTAGCTAGGTTGTGTGACGCACCCTTGTAGTCCCAGCCACTGAGACGGGAAGGTGGCTCGAGCCCAGGAGGTTGAAGCTGTTGAACCAAGATCGCGCCACTGCACTCCAGCTTGGGCAACAGAGTGATACCTTGTCTCAAAAAATACATATTAAACATTAAAAAGGAATAAAAAATAAAAAAAATACATCTCACTGGAATGGAACTCAGTCTGTTCATATCTTCTCCCCAGCCCCATCCCCCAGAGGTGGCTCCCCCAGCTTTCTACCCCCAGTTGCGAGAAGTTGGTGAGGATAATGGTAAGAACAGCAACACTAAAATCTAGTGTTCATTAGTGAGGGATGATGAAAAATTCTGGAGCTGGATAGTGGTGATGGATGCACTATAACATGTGTGAACGTTAATAATGTGTATGAATGTTAAGCGCCACTGAACTGTGCACTTTAAAATGGTTACAGTGGTAAATTTTATGTTATGTCTATTTTATCATTATTATATAATTATATATTATATAATTATATAATAATAATTATTATTTTGTTGTAGTGGTGGTTGTTACAAGAAAGAACTAGCATGACTGAGGCAAACCCTTGCCAGGCACTGTGCTCAGCACTTGTGTATATGTTATACTCTACCATCTGGATAGTCCAGGGAGACACGGATACTGTTGTTTACCCAGGACCACCACCATTTCACAGACGAGGAGGGTGAGGCTTCTAAGAGTTAAGTGACTCACTTGAGCTCAAACAGCTAGAAGCAGTGGCTCCAGGATTCCCCCAAGGCTCCTAACTCTACAGCTCTCCCTGCTAGATAATAAAATAAAGAAGTTATTTTAGTTTAAGCCAGAATTCTGAAACATACACATACACAAGCCTCCACCCAGCTTCTAATTGTCTCACTGAGAACAGACAAAACTCCAGTAGAATCCTTGAATGACAGCTAATTGTCTCCAGAAAAAATCCAAAATTGCCTCCCTCCCTTAATTGTAGTGCAGCATGATTCTGTTTTTCTGCTGGGCCCCTATTTGCTTCTTTCTGTGCAATGAATCATTGAAAGAGTGACCACCACGGACTTGGAGAATCTTTGTAGCTTTTAGTCTGTGTTTGGGTGTGGCTGGAGAGACAAATTAACACACAGAGCCGGACCTTGAAGGGGAAGGTCCTCATTTGTCTCAGATTGGGATCATTTGGGGAATCAGAAAATGTTTATATCAGAAAAGAAGAGAAGTCAATGTGTTTCGCAGGTTTGTGGTTTTTTGAAGGAGAAACATCTAGATTCTAGTCCTGTTCCTCTGCCTCCTTCTTAGGTGATGTTAGACAAAATAATTCACCTCTCTGAGTCAATTTGCTTATCTGAAAAATAGCAATAACAACAGCACTCATTTTACTAGGGCATGTGAATAAACAGATTTTTTTCCCATTGAGTGGCAGGTATTTATTGAGTGCCTACTATGTGCCAGGCACCATCCTACTCTCTGGGGATACAGCAGTGAACAAAACAGACGCACACCTAGTGATGAGGGATGGAGTAAAGCCCTTAGCCGATGCCAGGACAGAGGACATGAGTCACCTGTAGTCGCTGCCACTGCTGCTATTTCATGGCTACATTTTGACCCCTGTGGACCCACTGAAACCTCCTCACTGCCTCACAGGCAGAACAAGGACAGGGTCTTGGCCACCAAGTTTACTCACTTGAGCTGCATTTAGATTATTCTTCCAGCTAGGCCATGACAGTAGGTAGTGGCAGCTCTCTGTAAAGATGAGGGGTCCCCAGCTCGGACCCCTGGTTTCCTCCACCTGCCTGGACCTTACAGTGGTAGCCAGGTGTGTCCTGCTGACTGGGAAGCTCCTTACCTGGGTGCTTGAAGTATGGCTCCTTAGCATGTGTGGAGAGAAGGCTATTATGATAGCAACCTGCAGGGGTGGGATGTGTACCAGACCTTCACCCTGGAACTCCCGAGGAAGTGCCTGCAGATTGCCTGGCAGGTCTTATTCGGGTGATGTAGAGCAGAACGCTGGGGCCAGGTTCTGAAGTCAGACCCCTGGACTCAACTCACGCACAACTCCTTACCTCCAAACTGTGTGGCCTTGGTCAGGGGAACTGACTTCTCTGAGCTTCATTTTCTTCATCTTAAAAAAAAAAGGAGAATCACACCACCTACCCCATGGAGTTGTTATGAGGCAGAGAGATGTGATATAAAGCATGTACTTGGCCAGGCACAGTGGCTCACGCCTGTAATCCCAGCACTTTGGGAGGCCGAGGCAGTTGGATCACTTGAGGTCAAGAGTTCGAGACCAGCCTGGCCAACATGGTTGAAACCCCATCTCTAAAACACTAAAAGTAGCTGAGCATGGTGGCACACACCTGTAGTCCCAGCTACTTGGGAGGCTGAGGTGAGAGAATTGCTTGAACCCAGGAGGCGGAGGTTGAGTGCACCGAGATTGTGCCACTGCACTCCAGCCTGGGTGACAGAGCGAGACCCTGTCTCAAATAAATAAATAAATAAATAAATAAATAATGAATCATGTACTTGTATGTACCGAACACATGCACTTACAGAGCATAACGTATAGCTATGTTCAGGGGCCTGATGAGTATTGACTCATTTCAGGCTCACAGAAGCCCCAAGAACTGGGCACTATTACATCTCCATTTTGCAGCCCAGAGAGGGTAACACTTCCAAAGGGCACACAGCAAGCAAGTTTTGAGGGGCTGGGATTTGAGCCCAGGAGTTCCTGCTGTTAGCCTGGGCTGTGCTGGCTCTCCATCCCAAAAGCTCCATGTGAAGCCTGGCTTGAAATAAATGATTTGCAGGTATGAGGACCCCAGAGGTACTACCTGTGTTCCTGAGGTGTGTTATACATTTCTACTAAAGAACGGATTTCTGCTACAAGAACTCTCACTCCTGTTCCCTGGATAGCATATGATACTTTTTAAAACAACTTAATTGAGATATTATTTGCAGTACTTAAAATTTGCCCATTTTAAGTTTACAGTTCAGTGATTTTGCGGGGGGGAAATTTACCAATTTGTGCAACCATCACCATAAACCAGTTTCGGGACATTCCCGTCACCCCAACAAGATTCCTCATACCCATTGACTGTTAATCCCCATTCTCTTTCCCACTCCAGGCAACCACTAATCTACTTTCTGTCTCTGTAAAATTGCCTTTCCTGGAAATTTTGTATATACAGAATCTTACAATATGTGATCTTTTGTGTCTGGCTTAGTTCACTGCATCATGTTTTTGAGGTCCATCCATGCAGTAGCATGTATCAGTATTTATTAACTTTTTATGGCTGAATAATATTCCTTTGGGTGGATGTACCACGTTTTGTTTATCCGTTCATCGGTTGGTGGACATTTGGGCGGTTTCCACTTTTTGGCTATTGTGAATAGGGCTACTGTGAACATTCGCATGCAAGTTCTGGGGCTGATGTTGAAACACAAAGATTAGCCAAACTGGTAACCTTCTCTCTTTTCTCTCCTCTCTTGGGTTTCTCAGAACCCGGCAGTGGGCAGGTGTTTGTGACTTCAGAGAACCAACTTGTGTATTACCCCAGCATCACCTATGCCATCATCGGCAGCTCCGTCATTTTTGTGCTGGTGGTGGCCCTGCTGGCACTGGTCTTGCACCACCAGCGGAAGCGGAACAACCTCATGACGCTGCCCGTGCACCGGCTGCAGCACCCTGTGCTGCTGTCCCGCCTGGTGGTCCTGGACCACCCCCACCACTGCAACGTCACCTACAACGTCAATAATGGCATCCAGTATGTGGCCAGCCAGGCGGAGCAGAATGCGTCGGAAGTAGGCTCCCCACCCTCCTACTCCGAGGCCTTGCTGGACCAGAGGTGTGTGCTGGATGGAAGAGATTGAGGCGGGAGAGGTCATCCATTGCGGGGAGGGGAATAGGTGCACACACTGAGGTTCTTAGGTCTTGCCAAGAGCCTGGCTTCAGCTGCTATAGGCAGTGGCAGCATCTGACATTTGCCGAGTCCTCGCAAAATTCTCTACATGTATCACCTCATTTAATCCTCTTAGCACCTCGCTGAGGGAGGAAACTGATAGGAATGTTCCAAAACTGGATTATGGTGATAGTTGCACAAATCAGGAAATTTCCAAATTCTACAGATGAGGAAACTGAGGCTCTGGGATGTTAAATGACTTGTCTGAGGAACATACAGTTAGGATCCTGGCCTGCTCCTCCTGGGAATGTCACGCTGGTCCATGTTCTGGCCACAGACTAGCTCTGAGCCTCACCTGCTACTGCAGAGCAGTGCCCAGTACATGTGAGAGGTTTGGTTAATATCTGTCAAATGAATGGATAAATGAAGAAGTGAATGAATGAGAGAATCAGTGAGTTCCTTAACTTTGCTTGGCTTCATCTATAAAATAAAGGAGGTGGAAAGGAGCACTTTCAAGCTTTTTTAAGCAGTACCACATTGCAAATGGAATTGTACAAGAACTCCCAGTATGTATAAAGCCAGGAAGCAGAGTTCTGTAGTTGAAGCAAGCAGTGGGCCCGTTTCCTGATCAGCATCCCTCTTCCTCAAGCTCTGCCGTGTATGGCATTAGACATTTTGCTGGCCGTGTTCTGATGGTGACTGGGCTCTTCCTTGGACCCTCTTCCATGGCAGCTCTTACATTATTGAATCTTCGTTTTCCTTCCTCATAGAAGGTGAATAAAGTTTCAGAGGTCAGGGGAGAGGATGGCGCTTAAGGATCTCTTTGCAAATAAGTGTAAGAATTCAGGACCTTCCTCACCTAATAAAGTTCCCACTCATAACCTCTTCATTTGGACCACCCAGCATAGGGTAAGGTTAAAATTGCTGAATCTGGAAACAGAATGCGTGGGTTCAAATCCCAGCATTGCTGTTTACCAGTTATTTCTGATGCTGGGCCAGACATTGAATGTCCCTGTGCCTCAGTTTCCTCACCAGAGCAACAGGCATGAAAGTAATGCCCACCTCCCAGCATTCTTGTGAGCATTAAATAAGGTAAGGAATGTAAGGGGCATGGCAAAGTGCCTGGCTCATGAGAAGCCTTCAGTAAATGAGAGCTAGAAAATAAAATGTCTTTTCTGTTAAATTCATTCCTTTTAAGCCCCTTCTGCCGATACAGACCGAGGTGTTGAGAGGATGTCCTCTCACCCCAGTTCATAGCCAGGAAGAGTTGGCTTTCAATAGAAATGCCAATTCCATGTTCCCATCAGAGGCCCAGTCAAGATACCAGCCCAGCCTCTTGGCCACAGGGCTTTTGGCTGATGGAGCAGAGTGGCAATGCCAAACCACCCAGGTTGAGCCGAGGGACTTGGTGGGCGACCTCATTCTGGTTCTACCCAGAGGATGTGGTTTTGGCACCGTCCGGTCAACACCAACCAGCCAGAACACACTGGCCTTTTCTGTTCCGATGTGGTTCCTGGTCCTTGAATTAATTGTCTTTGTACTTGGAGGGAAAAATCTCATTTCGCACTGGAAACACTGTCTCAGAAATGGGCTGAAGTTGGCTTATCTTGGCCCTAATGTGTTCTCTTCTCTTCCTGTCTCCATTGCCCCTGCCCCCCTGCTGTCCCCATCACAGGCCTGCGTGGTATGACCTTCCTCCACCGCCCTACTCTTCTGACACGGAATCTCTGAACCAAGCCGACCTGCCCCCCTACCGCTCCCGGTCCGGGAGTGCCAACAGTGCCAGCTCCCAGGCAGCCAGCAGCCTCCTGAGCGTGGAAGACACCAGCCACAGCCCGGGGCAGCCTGGCCCCCAGGAGGGCACTGCTGAGCCCAGGGACTCTGAGCCCAGCCAGGGCACTGAAGAAGTATAAGTCCCAGTTATTCCAAAGTCCATATGGGTTAATCTGCTCTGACTTGTTGCCATTCTAACAATTTGTGCTCATGGGAAGCTCTTTAAGCACCTGTAAGGGTGTCTCAAGTTACAGTTTGGGATATTAACTATCTCTGCATTCCCCTCCTCCCCCAGACTTCAGAGATGTTTTTCTGGCGTCTCAGTTGACATGATCTGTTGTGCGTCTTTTCTGTCAGGTCACTCTTCCCTTGGGACCCGAGATCACACCCTCATTTTTCACATTATTCTGTTTCTGTTGGAGAGACAGCATATAAAACAGTATTGAAATAGGCTGGGAGAGAGCAATGTTTCTGTGCTATATTGGATGCTCAGAAGTGCAGGAGACGCTGGACCCAATTCTCTCTGCTGGGTAGTTACCTTATAGCATTTGGGGATTTGGGTTAGATGATCTAACCAGGAGGCCATCACTGGATGGTCACCCCCCCAAAAAAATTCCATTTGAGCATCAAAACCTGCTTTGCACAATCCTATTTGATGCCCCCAGTTCAGCAGAGTCAGTGGCCAAAGAAAACTTTGGACGTGAGTAACACCCTTCAGCAGTCGCAACGTTATTTTGGTTTTGTGAAGGACTCTGAAACCATCTACCCTGTATAAATTCTGGCTTTAGAAATTTGCCCAAGAATGCTCATTCTGAGAGCTTTCCTCAGCAGCATATATCATCAGCCTCATCCTAAAATAGGCAGGGAGCCCCTCCCATGAGTTTATCCAAGTTCTCAGCTCCTAAAATGCAGGCTGCCAAGACCCTACACCTGCCCTGGCTCTACAGCCACTTACCTGGTTTCTGGACTGTCACCCTCCCAGCTGACCTGCCCGTAGCCAAGGAATGAGGACCTAACTTGAGTTGGCCCAAAGTCTGACCTGGCTGTATGTCCCTGTGGCCCACACCCAGCCTGTCTTGCTCATTCATGCAGCCTCAACACTGGCCTCCAAAGTTCCCTTAACACTTGCAAAGTCCTTTTTACCTGTGCATTTGGACTTGAGGACACTGGTTTCTATCACAGGTGAGAGCCATGTTCAATACCTCCAGCAAGCTCTCCTGGCTCCCTGCACTGTGCACGCTCCTCTTCCCAAGGTCCCAATACCAGCACCTCTAGTTAGAGTTAGGGTCAGGGTCAGGCCTCTCCCAACATCCCAGTAGTTTCTCCTCTGAGACACATGGGCAAGAGACAATTTGGAGTCAAGATTTTCCATTTGGATCTATTTTAAATCTTTTAGAAATGCATTTGAAACAGTGTGTTTGTTTTTTCCCTTCTAGTTAAGGGACTATTTATATGTGTATAGGAAAGCTGTCTCTTTTTTTGTTTTTCCTTTAACAAGGTCCAAAGAAAGATGCAAAAGGAGATCACACCCTTGCCCCGCTGAGCCCCGTGATAACAAGTCACTCCAGACTAACCTGTGTGCCAGACATTTGTGCATTGTTGCACTTTGAGGTTATTATTTATCAAGTTCTTGAAGGAAGCAGAAAGAGGGACTCCTCTCTCCCTCCGTGTATAGTCTCTATGTTTGTGCTAGTTTTTCTTTTTTTTCTCTGTGTCCAGTCAGCCACAGGGCCCGCCTCCCTGCAGGAATAAGGGGTAAAACGTTAGGTGTTGTTTGGCAAGAAACCACACTGACTGATGAGGGGTAAAATGGAACCAGGTAGAGCCACTCCGGGCAGCTGTCACCCATTCAGAACTTCTTTCCGCAGCTGAAGAAATGTTCAGTAACCTGTTTGACGCTAATTAAAACAGAGCCTGCAGGAAGTGGGGCTAAAGTGGCATTCAGTGATCCTGTTCTGTAGACTTTTCTTTCTTTTTTTAACCAAATCCAAAGGATGTTACAGAAAAGCTAGCCACTGGTATTTTGTTTTGTTTAAAAAAAAAAAGAAAGAAAGAAAGAAAGAAAAACGGAAAGGAACCTAGCTGCCTGTATCTTTCATTTTTAAAATAGCACTTGAGTTATTTTCTGAGTAATCCAATAAAGAACTTTTGATGACAGCCAGAATGTGTTAGAACTCTGGCTGAACATTTCATCTCCTGTGAGTCAGAAGGGCTTTATTTCTCCCTTTGATGGGGCCCCTTCTTCTTTCTGGTGCTCTGGAAGTTGTTTAGAGGAAAGAATTCTAATTTTAATTAATTGCGCAGTGAGTTAATCTCACTCGCTTTTCTGCTTCCAGGCATCTTAGGAAAAACAAATGGTTTTAGTAGATAAGGGATGCCTACTAATGCTTTTTTAAAACAAACAGGGACATTTTTATTATAGATTTGATTTTTTTAATGAATGTTTTTAAAAATATATAAATAGGACACCAAAGCGGCAGGGTTTTTTTGGGGGGGAGGGGGTTTGTTTTCCAACTCAAGATGGCACATTAGTGGCCAGCAATATTTTTTAACTCATTCCAACCAGGAAGCTTTTTTATACATTGCCTAAATCTACGCCAACCAGAAAATAGTCTCATCTCTTTTTTTCTCAAATGAGATCCGTGTTTTATTTTAGCATTAAATTAGTTACACTGTGATGACTGGCCTATTACCTGACTCAGCTCCCTCTACCTTGAAATTGACATTTTTAAAAAATGCAACTAAGTGGTTAATAGTGTGTGACGCTCAAAGTTAATGTAAACTGGAAAGGTTGTGTGTCGTTGCTTTTTGTGTTTTGGTTAGGCTTGGTTTTGTTTTTTAATTTTTATACTTTCTAATAAATTTGCAGTTTCATTCTTTCTGTTTGTGCAAATGGTCCTTGACCCACTCATTTCCCTTATAGCAATATAAACAGTGGACAGTCACTTCTGTCATAGCTTTTGCAATGAATTTATGCCATAATAAAATGAGAAAAAGGAAGAATATGTTGGTGGGACCTCAAAATGTGATGGATGCTTCAGGATTCTGCAGCTGATATGATTGGAATACAGAGGCAAAGTTGTGGACACCAGTTAATGTAATGGGCCCTGGGAAATCATATTGGAAGATGGGTGTTTCTGCCTTTGCTACAGCATTGTTCAAGGGAAAAGGACAAGTAGCTGTGATAACTGTAACAGATTCTGACCACATATTCAGGAGCACACTATAGCTCTTGGATAGGTGGGCTAGTAATTAGTTTCAAAACACAAATGGCTCAGATTGTCCCCATCAATGATGGGAACATCTTTATGCTTTTTTAAGTCTAGTTTTGGAGCCACATGTTGGCCAATGCAGCAGGGACATCTGCCTGGGAAGGAAGTTAGGATGCCCCATAGGTCACCAGCACCACCATCATGAACAGGGACAGTAACTCCAGCCCTGGCCGAAATGAAATCCACATGGAAATCCAAATGCAAGACCCACAGTACCAAGATTTGGATCATGTATTGATCCCAGATTCCTCAAATGAAGACTGGGCTGTCAGGCATGTGTATCCCAAATATATGCTATGTCATGCCCTGCCCCAAGTGATGTAGAGTAGACTTTCCCAAGCCCCAAAGATTTGTCAAGTTACTCATTTCATCATCCCTCGAGGTACCTTATGAATACCTTTTTTTTTCTTTTTTTTGAGATGAAGTCTCGCTCTGTCGCCCAGGCTGGAGTGCAGTGGCGTGATCTCAGCTCACTGCAAGCTCCGCCTCCCGGGTTCACGCCATTCTTCTGCCTCAGCTTCCCGAGTAGCTGGGACTACAGGCACCCACCACCATGCCCGGCTAATTTTTTTTTTTTTTTTTTTTTTTTGCATTTTTAGTAGAGGCAGGATTTCACCGTGTTAGCCAGATGGTCTTGACCTCCTGACCTCGTGATCCGCCCACCTCGGCCTCCCAAAGTGCTGGGATTACAGGCGTGAGCTGCCACGCCCAGCCATGAATACCATTTTTATGGATGCCAAGATGAGCATTTTTTATGGATGCTAGTGCTTTGCAATGATTGTAAAATACTCAGCTAGAGCAGGGGTTGATAAACTTTCTCTAAAGGGCCAGAGAATAAATATTTTTGGCTTGTGGCCGTGTGGTTTCTGTAGCAACTGCAAAAGCAGCTATAGACAATACAAAATTGAATGGATGTGGCTGTGTTCCAAGAAAACTATTTACAAAAACAGGCTACTGGTGGGATTTGACCTGTGGGCTGTGGTTTGTCAGTAATCTAAAGGATCACTTCCACATTGGGTTCATAGATGTAAAGCTAAGGACACTGAAGAGAAGAAACAGTTGTGTTAATGGCTTGGAGTACTAGAACCCTTGAAATGACACCAATCTCAAAAAATTAAAAATAGGCCGGGTGTGGTGGCTCACGCCTGTAATCCCAGCACTTTGGGAGGCCAAGGTGGGCGGATCATGAGGCCAGGAGATTGAGACCTTCCTGGCTAACATGGTGAAACCCCATCTCTACTAAAAATACAAAAAAAAAGAAAAATTAGCCGGGCGTGGTGGTGGGCACCTGTAGTCCCAGCTACTTGGGAGGCTGAGGCAGGAGAATGGCATGAACCTGGGAGGCAGAGCTTGCAGTGAGCCAAGATCGAGCCACTGCACTCTAGCCTGGGTGACAGAGCGAGACTCCGTCTCAAAAAAGAAAAAAAATTAAAAATAGAAAAACTCATGAAGCAGACAATTCAAGGCCCCTATTAGTTCTCTTCCAAAATAAGAAGATACAGGATTAAGCTGAAGAGAGGCTTTCTTAATGAAATCCTAAATATTTGGGTTCAATATAGCAATCCTAGGAAAAAAAAAAAACAAAAAACTACTCTTACTGGGAGTTCTTCAAGGTCATGAACTCACACAGCAATCTGTCTTTTTTTTTTTTTTTTTGAGACAGAGTCTCACTCTGTTGCCCAGGCTGGAGTGCAGTGGCACAATCTCGGCTCACTGCAACCTCTGCCTCCCAGGTTCAAGTGATTCTCCTGCCTCAGCCTCCCAAGTAGCTGAGATAATAGGCGTGTACCACCACACCTAGCTAATTTTTTGTATTTTTAGTAGAGACGGGATTACACCGTGTTAGCCAGGACGGTCTCGATCTCCTGACCTCATGATCCACCCGCCTCAGCCTCCCAAAGTGCTGGGATTACAGGAATCTGTCTTTTAGAGAAGGTCCATGGGAGTGAGTGACGTGGTATGTCCATTTTCTACGTTGAGCTTGCAACCCACAGGCAAAGCAGTAGATTCTAAGAGTGAATTGAATGAGAAAGAGATTCAGGTGGCTGCAGTGGAAGTGTATGAGTGTACATAACTATGCACCCAGTGAGACCCTTAGGGAAAAGGTCAGTGAGAAAATATACTGACTCCCTTGACATCCTACAGCTAAACAAGTTCATAGGACATTAATTAGAACTCCTAGTTGTAAGTTATAGAAATCTGACTCATACATGATTAATTGCATTAAATTTTAGAAGATATATTGTCTAAAGCAACCAAGTCCAAGATTATGGAACTTTTGGGTTCAAGCAGACCTGGATCCAGCTGCTCAACAGCCTTCATTAGGAATTTGTTCCTCCCTTGCCAGTTTCTCAGCCCTGCTTGCTCATGGAAAAGAGAGTCCAGAAAACCCAGGTTCACAGTCTCAGGAGAGGCACTCTCTCCTAGCATCTATAGAAACCTTTAAACGGACTCACGATTGGTTGTTCTTGGTCATGTGACCACTACTATGAGTGGGTCTCAGTCCCTTGATTGACAGCCCCACCTGAATTACATGAAGTGGGAAAGAGAAAATTCCCATATGGAAAGAGTCTGGTAGTAGACCAAATACCAATATATCTGCTGTAAACCCCCACCAAAGAATGGGACTCACAACTGGCTGGTACAATTTGTAATATACATAAGAAAATAGCAGACAACTACAAGCTTCAGACAATGTAACCATGGGCATTATATGGTCTGAAAGAAACAGAGGCAACGTTGCAGTGAAAATTTCAGGAGACTCAACAGCCTTTCCTTAAACCTATGAGGCAAGGTTAGTTTCAAGTTGGGGTTGGATCATGTATACTTTTGTGAGACGGTCATGAATAAGCTGTGTAGGAGGAATTCTACCCTAAAGATACCCCAAATATCTCTTGGGCTCAGAACTGTCTCCCAACCACTGAAATGGGGCAATTATCCTGCCAAGAGTTTCCCCATCCTTCACAGTATTTTTAAGCTGATGGATCAGAAATATATTCCCATTCATCACCCTTATCAAGCTACCTAAAGACCTAGACTCAAGTATGCATGCAGTTAATGAGGCTTTCCATAGTTAACCATTTGTCTATACCTGAAAGTTAGGATGTGTCAATATCTAGAGAACCATCCACTAGAAATTTTGGAACAGCTTGTGTCACTGGAGCTGAGGGGCTGAGTTTCCATTATATTGAGAGCTTGAAGGTATAATCATGGGGAGCTGTGATGAAATATTGGAGGAAGCATGTTAATTTAAATATTACTGATGCCTCAGTTGGGCTGAGTTTATAGTCTGAGCAAGGATAATTCACTCTAAAGTTCTAATATCAGGCTGTATTTGACTTTACATGCTTTTCAAGGTCACCGTTGACGGTGAGTCATCCCAGTGAGCCAGCAGAGAAAAGGCATTCCAAGGAGCACACATGCATGGGCAGTGTTTACGGGCCAGACCTGGAAGCAACACACACCTTCACTCACATTTCATTGCACAGAGCCTGGTCAGTCCCATGGTCAGACCTACCTGTAAGAGAGGCTGAGAAGTTAGATTAGCTGTGTGTCCAGGAAGAACCAGAAATGGATTTTGGTGCTGGTGACCAAACCTGTGTTTGCACTCTTCTTTCCCTTCTGAAAGAAGACACCCAACCATTCCATCTAATCAGATCCAAGATCTGGGATCTGGTGAAAATTTCTGTCAGGTCCAAATTTGGCTTTTCTAGAATGACAACTTTTCAACCCCACACAGCTCATATCATCTCTCCCCTAGATTGCCTCCCTTTGGCCTATTTTCAGAATCTCTTTCTTTTCTTTTCTTTATTTATTTATTTATTTATTTATTTATTGACAGGGTCTCATTCTGTCACCCAGGCTGGAGTGCAGTGGCATGATCTCTGCTCGCTGCAGCCTCAACCTCCCGGGCTCAAGTGAACTTCCCACCTCAGCCTCCCGAGTATCTGGGACTGCAGGCATGGGCTAACATGCCCAGCTAATTTTTGTGTTTTTTGTAGAGATGGGGTTTTGCCATGTTGCCCAGGCTGGCCTCAAACTCCTGAGCTCAAGCGATCCGCCCACCTTTACCTCCCAAAATGCCATGATTCCAGGCACACACCAGCACTCCCAGCCTATTCTCAGAATCTTTGAATAACTTTTCCAGGCACACACCACCGCTCACAGCCTATTCTCAGATTCTTTGAATAATTGTCAACTCACTGCGGAGAAAGATCAAAATGCTAGTCTATGGGACTTTCCACCACCTGGCTTCTCCCTTCTCCCTTACCCTGCTCCAGCTATCCTGACCACCCTCCTGGTTCGAACCTACCAGGCAGACTCTCAGCTCCCAAACTTTGTTCTTGCTGTTCCCTTTACTGGAACAGCTTCTCAAGATCCCTAGAATACTCTTCCCCATCAGAGAACCATCAGGAGCCACAGCCACTTGGAATATTGCTATTGATGTCTTTGGGACCTCAGCTGTGGCCACACTGAGATTCGTGGAAGATGGAAGTACCAGACTCCTTCTTGACCAAGATACTGATTGATCCCTAGACTAAAGCAGTACATGAGAACTTGGGAAGGTGAGTTGAAATACCTTGAAATAATAAACAATACACTGGAATGTGAAGAATGGGACTAAGTGATGGAGGTGGTACCTGAACACATGCCCACCTGGGGGCCTGCTCTTTTGGTGACCCCTCAATAGGTATGACTCTTTTGCAAGAGGACTTGGGCCAGACCATCTTGGAAGTGTGTTCTTGGTGTGCTAGTCTGTGAATCAACTAAGAGCACACCGACATGCCAGGCAACTTCCCAGGGATAGGACCGCAGATTCTATTTGAAAATGGTGGCATCCCCAGTTTGGAGATAAGAAACTGACACTTTGTTCAAACAGGGAAAAGAGGTAAGAAATTATAGAAAGAGAAGACAGGGCCAGCCTCCTTTTACATGAAAAATAAACTGCTTAAATAACTCAGCCCTCAGTTACCAGGAAATGATTGAATGTGAATGTCTTGACCCCACTTGCTGGCTTGGCTTAGATCTAATAAGTGATCTTTTCATGAAAATGATGTTTGTGCTTGCCTGGTGTATCAGCTGGGATCAGTCAGAGCCACTACAAGTATTACAGGAATAAGGGATTTCATATGGAAATTAGGGCTTATCCTGTTGCAGAAAGAGCTGGTGGAGGGATGGTCTGGAAAGTTGGAGGATCTGGGACATTATCTCCAAGGCCACTAGCCTGGGGCCTGGGACAGATGGAGAAATGAGCTGGCAAGGAAGGCCAAGAAGGTGCTGCTACATGAAGACTTCAAAATGGTATTGCAACAAGTAAGCTCATGGAGAAGACTGTGAAGCCACGTGTCTGACTACCCCAATACTTTGAGAATAATGACTTCTGCTCAAGCCCAATCCTCTGGCCCTCCCAGAAACTCTTCAAGTCACTTAATGAATTCCTTTTCTGTTTAAATCAGCAAAATAGGCTTCATCATTTGCAGCAAAGATCCTAACTAATCCAATATTCAGCCCAATGAGTTGTGGGAGAAATGAGCACTGGATCTAGAGTCCAAAGATCTGAGATCAAGTCTCAGCTCTGCTCCTGATCTTGTGACTTCACACATATCAGTGTGTCTTACCAAAAATCAGTGTCTTGTCTACAAAATGGTTGTAATAGTCATTATCTCTTCAAGCAGCATTGAGAAATCCACATGATATTGCAAAGGAAAGTCCCTTGTGAAGGGTAATAGACATTTTTAATGGGAAGTCCTGTCATTGTTCCTTCACTATGAATCCAAACTGCCCTTCCTTTAAATGCTAAGGAACTGGGAATTTGCATTAAGCAAATCATGTCAGGACAAAATCTTGACTGCACCTGCACCCAGGAGTTGAGTGGGTCCATTCACATGCCCTTTTTGGAAATGGAGTGATATGGTTTGGCTCTGTGTCCCCACCCAAATCTCATGTTGAATTGTAATTCCAGTGTTGGAGGAGGGGCCTGTTGGGAGGTGAGTGATTCATGGGGGTGGACTTCCCCCTTGCTATTCTCATGATAGTGAGTTCTCATGAGATCTGGTTGTTTAAAAGTGTATAGCACCTTCCCCTTTGCTTTCTCTCTTCCTCCTGCTCCCACCACGTAAGATGTGCCTTCTTCTTCTTTGCCTTCTGCCATGATTGAAAGTTTCCTGAGGCCTCTCTACCCATGCTGCCTGTACAGCCTGCAGAACCATGAGCCAATTAAACCTCTTTTCTTTATAAATTACCCCATCTCAGGTAGTTCTTAATAGCAATGAGAAAATGGACTAATATATTGACTGACTGACAGGATAATGCAGGGAGAAGGGAAGTAGAGCTGTTTACTGGCACCTGATGATCTAAGTGGCCAAACGCAGAGCAGCAAGGCTGATAATAATAGTAGTAGTTAACATCATTTATTCTTCAGTTATTTTGTGCCAAGCACTTTGCTAACACATAATCCTCTGAATCAGGAGTTGGCAAATGTGACCCACAACCCAAATCTGGTCCACTGCTTATTTTGTAAATAAAGATTTGTTGGGACATACCATTCCCATTCATGTACTATTTCCCTGGCTGCTTTCATGCAGAGTTGTAGCATTAAACAGAGACCATATGGCCCAAAATGCCCAAAGTATTTGCTATGTGGCTCTTTATAGAAAAATTTGCTGACTCTACTCTGAATGAACCATGGAAGATGGATATTCTACCCTCTTTCCAGATTGGAAAACTGAGGCCTAGAGATATAAGGAGCTTATTCTAACACCAAAAGCTAGTAAATACTCAATCTCGGATGTGAGCTCAAA
Organism: Homo sapiens; assembly: GCF_000001405.40. NCBI lineage: Eukaryota > Metazoa > Chordata > Mammalia > Primates > Hominidae > Homo > Homo sapiens. The sequence continues at coordinate 36,239,330 of NC_000011.10, forward strand.
GCCCAGGCTCTAATCACTGTTTTACCCTTACCATCATTTTAGATGAGTGATGTCCCCTCCTTTTTCTGTTTGCTGTTACTTTTGGGGAAATTGGTGCGGGGCAGTCACTGCCTTCCACCTTCAAGTGAAGACATCAGGCTTGGATTGAAATGTCTACTTCCTGCCTTCAGGTTCTAGAGCAGGACTGGATGTTTCTTCCCTAGGGGTTATTTGCTGCCTTGCTGCTCTCAAAATCAATCAGTTCCCTAAAGCCATGGTTCTCCTTCTACCAAATGGTTGGAAATCTGTGCAGTTTTCGGGGCTGAATCCAGGGCCTCTGGAGAAATGCAGCTTTGCCAGGCAGGGCTGGCTTTGCAGAAGCTCTTCTTTTTAGCTGAGTTTCCAGGGTTTCGGCTCACATGACTTTGGTGTCCCTGTACCCCAACCCCCACTGCAGGGATCCCTGGACCCCAGAGGGTGTTTTGGCATTTTGTTGTACTTCTCATCTGAGTCCAAAGCTTACTTGGGGTGGATTTGTCTCTGGCAGTAAACAACCACAGACTGTGGATGGTGCCGTGGCAGATGCTCCTCTGGAGAGAGGCTCTCAGTCTGGGCACATACCCACTGCCTGTCTGGGCAGAACTAAAGGAGTGAGCCAGAAGAACAGTCCTCACTCTGCGACTTCCCAGTTTAATTGCTTCTTCACATCTGTGGTTTTCTTTTTTTAATTTTTCTTTCTTTTTTTTTTTTTTTTTTTTTAGAGATAGGGTCTCGCTCTGTCACCCAGGCTGGAGTGTAGTGATGCAGCCACAGCTCACTGCAGCATTCAATCCTCCTGCTTTACCCTCCCCTGTAGCTAGGACTACAGGCATAGGCCACCGCACCTGGATTTTTTTTATTTTTTATTTTTTTTATTTTTTGTAGATACAGGGTCTTGCTATGTTGCCCAGGCTGGTCTCGAATTCCTGGTCTCAAGCAATCCTCTTGCCTCCACCTCCAAAATGCTGGGGCTACAGCTGTGAGCCACCACACCCACTCATATCTGTGGTTTCCCACTGACTTTGTCATCTTAATTCTGGTGTCATGAAACATTTCAGAGTTGGCAGAAACTGGGGGCAGGAAGCAGTCAGGAAGCCCCTGGACGAGAGGTCTGCTAGGAAGGGCTTGGCCCATTGGTATGAAGCCTGAGAGAGTGGGTTTGTGCCTGCACCCTGCTCAGAAGCCTCTTTCAAGCAAACGAGTGCTGATAGAATGGTTCTGCTCTTCACAATGAGATCCATGGCCCTTCCTACCACTCAGAATGGGCTCCTCTGTCATCTCAGGGTATGCCAGAAAGATACTCTGTTATGCACAATTCCCAAAGATAGACAAGCCCAGGCCAGTCCTGGCTTCCATGCACCCCAGGGCTTTTTCCGTGTCTAAGACCCTTCTCTATGCCTCAACAACCCTGTCTGTAAAATGGGAGAGAAACTGGCCAGCAGCCCAGGGAGAATCCCCATTCCAGAGAGTCTTGGTCCCAGTAGACAGGCATGGGGCTTGGCAGCACTGACAGCAGGGAAATTCTACCTCTCAAAGAAAGGGCTGGGGGAGGATTCTGAAGATAGTATCTCAATAGGCCTTATATCTTGACTAAATTGCATGTTGGAATTTAATTTGGAATCCCTGCTGTTTCCTTGATGAACGCAAACCACACTGCAATTAGAGTGATGAAGCGGGATGCTGCCGCGTCTGACAAGGGTGATCTGTCTAAGCAGGGAGGGAGGGGACAGGCAGTTGGCAGGTGCCTGGTGGACTCATGCTGGGCATATTCTCAGCATCTCTCCAACTAGACAGAGGCCATCAGGGGAGAGGAAGGAGTTCAGGGGACAGAGATTGTGTGGTCTAACAGCTCACGGGGCAGAGTGGAGGGGAGAGTTTCAGGGGACTTTCTTGGATTGTACTCCATGGCTTATCCACTGCAGTGTCCTGGGCCCACATGACACCAAGTACAGCAGATTAAGCTCATGACTTGTGTCTCAGAATCTCGCCTCTTCCACCCTCCCACTATGGAAGGAAATAAACATTTATTTAGCACTTCCTTTGTGCCAGGCACTGGGCTAGGTGCTCTAAAGGCATTATCTCATTTAATCCACCCAGCAATCTCATGAGATAGGCACTCTTATCTCCATTTTACACATGCAAAACCTGTGAGCCAAGAGGTTAAATAACTTGCACACAAGGTCACAGAGCTCATAAGTGATGACGGTAGGTAGGATCTTAACCCAATGGTCTGGGTCCAAGTTCCCTTTCCACCTTACCCATGCATCTGCCAAGGCCCCAGCCTTTGAGAGACTGAGCTGGTCTCTCCCTAATCATCTGCTACTTCCTCCAAAGGATTCTTGTTCCTGCTATCTGCACATCCCCATACTGGCTCATTGAAAGGGGAACCTGCTCTCTCTCCACCCTCCTTGCTACTTCTTCCCTGCTGGAGGAGGGCTAGCTTATCTGATGCATGCATGTAGGAGAGTTGCCAGTTGATGGGACCATATGAAACAGGTGCCCTGAGCATACCTGCCCTCCATCTCTGGGTGGAAAGCAGACTCTGCAGAGTCCACTGCTGGAAGCCTGAGCCAGGTGTTTGCTCTCTGACAACAGCTCTTCCATCTGGAACTAGATCGAATGCTCAGTGTGGCCATTTCTGCAGAGACATCACAGATAGAGGTAGAAAGAAAAGCTTCATTTGGCCTCAGTCTTGGTTGCGTACTCTCGAACCTGACTTTTAAGCCCCATTTTGTTCAGTTCTCTGTATTGATACATTATAGGCCAGAATTCAGGAAAGGAAGAAAGAGGCTATTGCTTCAAACCTAACCCCCAACTTACAGGCACTGGAGCTGGATATCCTTGCTCCCAGGCTGGGGTGTTGCAGTAGAGGAGACTTTTCCCAGAAACTGCCGCAGAGCACCCAGGCAAAGGATATTTCCTGCTGAGCTCCCAACACATTCTTCTTCCTGATACTCCAAATCCAAACCATCAGAGAGGAGATGCAAGAGAGCCAGAGAGCTCCCAGAACCAGACTCAGGGGAAGAACAGAAGCAATTCCACTGGAAAGTTTACATATAGACAGTGGGCCCTGGAGCAGTAGAACAAGCATGGACCTCATAGGCAGTGAACCTGAATTTCAATCCCAGCTCTACTCCTAGCTTGCTGTGTGGTCCTTTTGGGCTTAACTTCCACCTGGGTAAAGTAAGAATATTAAATAAGTAACTATTAAGTCATTGTAATACTGTGATTCTAATGTGATTAACGGACATGTGAAAGCCAAAGCCAACAGGTCAAGAGATCCTGAGTACTCATGGTGACCCCCTGCTGAAGACAAGTGGCAAATATACCTCAGGCCTCTGATTCCATCATTCATTCTGCAAACATGTAGTAGAGGTCTGCGATGTATGGTTTGTGCCAGGAGGTAAGAATTCATTACAGAACAAAAAAGTTCTTCGTCTCATGGATCACCATCAAAGGGAGGGAAGGACAGTGCCACAAGGGCATAAGCACAGAGGGGCTGACTGCAGGCCAATCTCAGCATCTCCTGATGTCACTGCGGTGATTAGGCTATAGGTTTGGCTGCTTGGCTGAGACCAAAACTAGACTTGCTCAAACAAGATAGATGTCTGTTTCTCCCCAACTCTCTAGCAGTTCAAACACAAGGAATCCAGGGCTGTTATGATGGCTTCAGGACATCAGGGACTGGATTCCTTCCATCCTGTGTCTCTGCCGTCCTTGGGTGTTGCCCTTGTCCTCTTGTCTGACGATGGCCCACCACCATGGCCATTGTCCAGCCAACGGGAGAGAGGAGGAGGAGAAAAGGATGGTGCAGTCCAGAAGTTGCACACCTCCCTTCTGCTCATGTTCTATCAACCAGAGCTTAGTTGTATGTCCATATCTACTTGGTAAGGACGTTGGGAAGGGTGGGCTTTTGGGGGCAGCCATGTGGAGTGCCTAGCTAAAGGCCAAGGATTCTGTTACTGTGTAAGGGAGAGTGGGAAACAGAGAACAAGCCATCACTGCCAGACTTGTTGTCCCCTTCTTTTAAACCATGGCTAAATCAAATATAACAGACTTAGCCCAGCACATGTCAAGTGCTATCGTAGTCCCAGAAGACAGAGTCCACACCCTCAGAGCATGTAAATTGGTTGGAAACCAGAGAACACAGGACTGTGGGACTGTCTGCAGTGGCTTTGTAGGAGGGGGCAAATCAGAAAAGCAGCCACTGTAGGTCTTTTAAACAAAGGGCAATTAGTATGAGGAATTGGTTATTCACGGGGTGGAAGAGCTGATAAGCTGAACAACCCAGAGACTAGAAACTGTAGGGAGTCATTTCACTCCCAGGCTGCAGGGACCAAGGGAGGAGCCAAAATCATGGTGGCTGATGCCCATTGGATCCCAGGACTACAGAAGCAAGAACTGTCCAGTAGGAACTGGATCCAACAAGGAAATACAGCCAGAGCTGGGGCTGCCACTCGAGGCAGAGCAAAAGATGAAGAAATATTCTGGCTTCTCCCTTCTTCCCACCTTCTGTCAGTGCTGCCCATTGGCCAAATTTAGCTGGATGCCAGCTGGAAAGAGATTCTTGAAAGTGTAGTTTTCTGCAGTGTGAAGCAGAGCAGAGAGCAGGGAAAGGCTGGTGGGTGGATCTGAGTACAAACAGGCTAGCATAGACCAGCACAGGGCCAGAAACACCCAAGGGACAGACCTTAGAGTATATTATTGGAAAATCGTATTTTCTCCAGTCTAGCACTAATTAATATAACAGAGTAGGCTTTGATTTTTATAATAAGATAAAAGCCGGATCCTTGATTTTAGAAAAGGATAGAGCACATTTGAAAGTAGAAGGCCCATGTATTAGTTTCCTATTGCTGTTGGAACAAATTATCATCAACATAGTGGCTGAAAATGACACAAATGTATTACCTTACAGTTCTGGAGGTCAGAAGTACAAAATGGATCTTACAGGGATAAAATCAAGATGTTGGCAAAATTGCATCTCTTCTCGAGGCTCCTGTAAATAATCCATTCCTTGCCTTTTCCAGTTTCTACACATTGCCACATTCTTTGTCTCGTGGCCAACCTCCAACCTCTGCTTCTGTGGTCACAGGTCCTTCTCCCGTTTTCCCATGTCCCTCCTACAAGGACACTTATGATTACATTGGGCCCATCCAGATGACCCAGAATAATCCCTCCATCTCAGGATTCTTAACTTGATAATATCTGCAGAATCCCTTTTATGATGTAAGGTAACACGTTACTTAGGATGAGGATTGGGATGCAGACGTCTTTGGGGAGGCCATTATTCTGCCTACTACAGCCCTCATTTCATTTTCCTCCTAGATCTGAATCTAGGCCCCCAAAGATTATCAGCATGCAAAAGTAATTACAGTCAAATTTCTTCAGGCCCTTGGTAGGTCTCCTATAGGTACTCTGCAGACCATAGCTGCCCTTTGAAAACTAATATGCAATGTGTCTTTGGAGGATGTGCAGAGGGAGTTCAATCAATACTGGCTTCCTTCCTGGTCGAGCAGCATTGGATCAGTTAGGAATACTTTGGGCTGCAAGGTACTAAAAAATCTGACTCAAATATGGTTCGTCAGTTGTTGTTGTTTTGTTTTTCTTAATAGCAAAAGTCTATAGGTGGCTGCTGGCCTTGGTTCAGTGGGTCAGTGATTTCAGGGCTGGCATCTCTGGAAGTCACTTTCAAGTTCCCTAATGCTTTTGCCTCACTCACTGGATGTCTGTCCCAGCTCCAGGCATAATGCTTTTGCTTCACTCACTAGATGCCTGCCCCAGATCCAGGCATCATGTCCAAAGTCAAGTCAAGAAAGATGGAAGAGATGGCAACAATAACTATGTCCCTGTTGTCAGGAAAGCAAGCTCTTCCTGATCCCCCAGCAGATTTCCACTTACATGTCATTGGCCCAAACAGTCATGTCACCATCTTTAGCAGCAAGGGAGGCTGGAAAAGCAAGTATTTGACATTTCCAGCCTCTATAGTGAAGTTGGGTGAGCGGGGAGGAGTTTAGATATTGAATTAATCAAACAAAAGAATCTGTCACCACTACCTTTCTTGGATTTACTTGGTTCCTCCCATTGAATGTATAGATGAAATATAGTCATTTTGGGCTGATTATGCCTATCAGTAACTTTTATCTCACCATTCCTCTTCTAACTCTCATGAAAGTCAGCTGTTTAGAAAAGCTCATGACCTCTCTGTCCACCCTTGTTGACTCTAGGGTCCTGGCAGGCTAGTGCTGGGACCTGGGGAGTTTGTTAGAGACCCACAGCATGGATGACCATGTTTGCTGCTGGTGATGACAATGACAAAAATAAGTATGTGAATGAGTTCTATTATTATTTCCATTTTACAGAGGAGGAGACTGAGGCTCGGGAAAGTTTAATGACCTTTCTCAAAGTGACACCTCTACTAACAGCCTAAGTTGTTGGTCACTATGATATATCTCTTCCTGGAATTCACTTTCCAGGAAGAAAAGACCAAAGGCAGAAAGTCTCTATTACTACAAAGCCAGGGCAAGAATGTTGCAAGATTAATGATCCAAGTGATGCCTCCAGTGTCCAAAATTTGTTGCATGTACAGCATCAGCAGAGTTGGAACGTGATCTGAAGAGGCAATGAGGTCAGGAGATCGAGACCATCCTGGCTAACACTGTGAAACCCCGTCTCTACTAAAAATCCAAAATAAAATTAGCTGGGCATGGTGGCGGGCCCCTGTAGTCCCAGCTACTGGGGAGGATGAGGCAGGAGAATGGCGTGAACCCGGGAGGCGGAGCTGGCAGTGAGCTGAGATCGTGCCACTGCAATCCAGCCTGGGCAACAGAGTGAGATGCCATCTCAAAATAAATAAATAAATAAATAAATAAATAAATAAATAAATAAATAAATAAAAAAGAGGCAATGAGCATACCACACACTTAGCCTTGTCCCACAGTTCATTAATCACCCTAAATTCAAAAGCATTTATCATGATTAGATCCAGCTCAGCCCCTCTGGTAAGAGATTTTTTTTAAAAAGTAATGCAAATAGCAAACCATATCTTCCCTGTGGCTTCTACAGTTCAGGGTCTGGAGGTCAAACTCCCTCATTCATTTAGTAAATATTTATTGAGCACCTACTGTGTGCTAGGCACTGATCTAGATGCTGAAAATCCAGCAGGGATCAAATACATCAAAATCCCTGCCCTCATGGAACCTATATGTCTCCTCCAGTGAAGAGAAAGGCAATAAGCCAAATAAATAGGTAAAATACAATGATTGTTACATGGTGTTCCCACAATCCTAGGAAATAATTGGTTGTTCCATAGTCAAGATGACAAGTTTCCATCACTTTGTTTTAAACCTGTCTAATCCATCAATGACAGTCCTATAATCTTTGTATCAAAGAAAAGCTAATTTTACAATTTGGACAAGTTGATGAGTGGTAACTCACTTCAATGAACAAAACTCTGAAAGCCAACCAATCCACAGCAGCTTCATGATGTGGAAGTAAACCAATCCCTGGTGGACTCACTTATGTGAACATCCTTCTAAGGCTGATATCAACCCACCCCTGCTTCTAAAAGCCACACAACCTGAAATACTCTTCCCAACAACTCTATAAAAGACTGGCAGTTTGCTTTGGTTGGAGAAATTTTCCTGACCACAATGGGTATTCCTTACTTAAGAAAGATATTCAGATTTTGAGTGGTGGTCTCCTCCTTTGATAAATCCAGAGGTCCCGATGAGATTGTGTTGAAAACGCCTAGTTGACAGAATTCCATGGGACTTGACAACAGATGCTTTGAGCCCAGGTCCTCTGTGCCCTAATTCTACTTACTTTGTGGATTTCCCTGACGTGTTTCATTAAAATGTCTTTGCTGAATTTATTTTGTTATCCTAGAATTCATAACCAAAGAGTTCTTTGTACAAGAAAATGAGATCTCAGTCTTTTTGTATAATTAGCACTTCTTTTTTGGAAATGCATCATTTGTTGAATATTTTTGCCTTTAATCTGCTTATTCTTTTCCTGCTTGCTTTGCTTTTGTTTTTATTTGACTGTTTGTACAAAGTCTCATCTTGTGCAGCTCTGATTTGATCTGCACTGTCTTGTGTCTGTTAAATGCATGAGAGAGTGCTCCACAAGGATAGCTGGAGGCGTAGGCTCCAATCCCATCCAAGCTAGCCCTGAGGACTGCGAGTTGGAGGTTCAGGAGATAAGCAATTAATTCATGCAAAAGTGATGGATCAGATTTTGCTCTCAATCCCTTTCCAAATTTTATGAGGATGTTCCCTATCTTATCAACGTGTAAAAGAAGGTCATTTTGTTCAGTCTGTCCCAAGGTCAACAATTGTTGCATCATTGATTGTGTGACCTCTTCCTAGATTCTGCTTGGTTGGTTGAAACACTCTTTACAAGTACACACACTCTTGACTAACTATGGTGGTCTTTTTGTCATGAGATTGGCTAGGTCAAAGCCTCAACCTTTTCCTAACAGAACTCCTGCTTTTTGTACGAATTTACTTTTAACTTGGTAAGTGACAAAACAAAATTGTTTACTTAGTATATTAGCTTGCTAGGGCTGCCATGCCAAAGTACCACAGACCAAGTGGTTTAAACAACAGAAATTGATTTTCTTGAAATTCTGGAGGCTAGAAGTTTGAGATCAAAGTGTCAGCAGGATTGGTTTCTCCCTGTGTTGTCATATGGGTCTTCTCTCAGTGTCTTTCTGTGTCCTAATTGCTCCTCTTCTCCTCCTCCTCCTCCCCCTCTTCCTCCTCCTCCTTCTTGTTCCTTCTCCTTCTCCTCCTCCTTCTTCTTTCTTTTTTCTTCTTCTTGATGGGTCTTGCTCTGTTGCCCAGGCTGGAGTACAGTGATGTGATTATAGCTCACTGTGGCCCCAAGCCATCCTCCTACCTCAGCCTCCCTAGTAGCTGGGACTAAGGGCATGCACCACCATACCCAGGTAATTTTTATTTATTTTTTTAGAGATGAGGTCTTGCTATGTTGCCGAGGCTGGTCTCGAGCTTTTGGCCTCAAGCCGTCCTCCTGCCTTAGCCTCCTGAGAAGCTGAAATTACAGACCTGAGCCACAGCACCTGGCTCTAATCTTCTCTTCTTAGAAGGATGCCAGTCATATTGGATTAGGGCTCACCCTAATTACCTCTGTGACGACCCTATCTCCAATTACAGTCAGATTCTGAAATACTGGGGATTAGGACTTAAACATATGAATCTCAGAGAGACAAAATTCAGCCCCCGACACTGAGAACTGATCATTTTGGGGAAATTGTGACATGTCAAAATTAGGAAATTAATACATTTCACAATAGCTCTGGAAAATGATGAGAAAAACATATTCAAAGTTCAGGAGTCAGCTTTTTTGATGGATAGACTAAGGACTCAAAACAAAGCATTGATACGGACAGAACCTGTCACAAAAATTCTACTTAGCTCCTGCTCAGACTCAGAACTCTCTCCTCTGTGCTCGGCTCTCTTTCCTTGCTCATCACCACCACTTACATTCCTCTACTTCTTCTGCTCTCTCTCGTGAGCTTCTAAGGAAGTTTGTCTCAGGAAAAGAACAATTACCTTGCAAAATAGCCCCTGAAAACTACTAGACCAGAAGGCATATCTATAGAAGCTGAATTTTAACCACGGTCTACAGCTAAACTGAGGGATATAATTAAAGTATTTTTGTAAACCTCAGGAAGGAAGGCAGAAATTTGCTGCAGAGTTCAGGGTTTTGTTACACTGATTGTCCCCAGCAATCAGATATATACCAACTAGTCTACTGCATTGTCAGGCTCTCTGGTGAGGGAAAATATTAAAAGTAGCAGTGTAGGAGAGATAAAGAGAGAAACTAAATAACTCAGCTATGCCGTAATTTTTTAAATGGCCCTAAAAGCACAAGGAAATAGGAAAGTTGTTAAAATAAGGCCATGTCAGAAGGCTTTTCCTAAAAGGCAGTGGTGTGCTGGTGAATATTTAACCACCAGCTCTTTGGTGTTGGGGGAGTAGAGGAAAGCTATGAATCGTAACATTTGCAGATTTCCATGTTGTAAATACTCCCACCATAGCCAGTTTCAAGCTAACCACAAGATATGACCTAATGCAGCATGGGGTACAGAAGCTGTCAAGAGTCAGCACAAGCCAGTTCCAGCACACTATGGCTTCAGGGCAGCTTAGACAAAGATTTGAATTTGCAAAGAAAACAAGGATGAATCAACAGATGCCAAGAACCTTTCATAACAGTATTGTTGAGTGAACCCACAGCCGAAGTCAAGAGAGAGTCATCCTCTCTCTTTTTTAATGTCCTCTGACCTAAAATAGGAGAATAGGAAAAAAATATGTTTGAAAGAAAAGTTGCCAGTGTAGAAAATTTTCAACATGTAGCCTAATAGAAATCAATAAGCTAGAAATGGAAGTAAACATCTGAGTTTCTGATTTAAACAACTGGCCCAGGGATCAAAACATGCCTTCTGTGCTCAGAATTCAGAACTTCTTGAGAGGATTACCTGTGGAGGTTGCACACAGAAGAACCATTGGAGGAATGAATGGCCCATAGTTGTGTAGAAACTGAAAAACAGCTATCCGAAATCTGTCCAGCGATGCCTCACAGAGAGACATTAGCACCCAACAATTCCTAGTTGTCCTCTTCTAAACTCCATGTACAATAGACATCTTTTGTTTTACCTGCCCAGGGTCTCTGCCTCTGGAATCAAAACTCATTTTTCATGTGCTTTAAGTGAAGCTGACCCCAGCTCCTTCACCTTCCCCTAGCCTAGCAGGTGACTCAGAGATGGCTGGTTGGGAACTCCAGCCCCTTGGTTCAATGATGGGCAAGTGACCCAACCTGGGCCAACCAGAGTCCTCCTTGATCTGCAGGATTTTCAGGAAAGATGGTATCTCTTCAATAGAGTTGCTAAGCTAGTGAGCAGTCATCCATTTCTCCTTAAACCTGGGCTTGCCACTGGGGCAGCTCAGCTATGTTTTGCCTCTGCTTCTATTTCTCCTGCATTACTGACTATCCTTCTCCCTCTTCTCTTTACCTCCCTCATAGCTGCTGCTTTCTCGTGATCTCCAATGGCCTACCTAGTTCATGGCCTTCCCAGTTCTTGCCTATTGCTTTTGCACTTTGCATCTTTACACCTCTGCCTATCTACCCTGTGAAGACAGGGACCATGCCTGTTTTGTGTACCATTTTATACCCAGTGCCTGGAATTCTTTTGAATAAGTGAATGATCTTTGTCTTTCTCTGAGTTTTCCATTCAAATTTGCCAAAAATGGGTTCTGATGGAGTTGAGCCCCCCACCCCACTGGGGTTGTCTTTGGTCAGGTATTCTACTCTTGTCCAATCCATTATGGCCAGTGTCATTATGGCCACATTGTATAAGGAACTCCCTGCAGTTAATAGAAGGTTTCCAGAAAGACGAATGTATAGCTTGCAGAAAAAGCCTGTTCAGCCCAAAAGGTTATGGGAGGCAGATTCTGACATGACCCCATTGAACTCTGCCTCCTGATATTCCTGCCCTTGTGTAATCCCCTTCCCTAAGCATGGGCTGGACCTACTGACTCGCTTCCAACCAATAGAATAAGGCAAAAGTGATGAGATGTCACTTCCATGATTAGGTTAGAAAACACTGACTTATCTTTTTCTTCTTATATGTTTGTCCTGATGGACAGGCCAATCTGTCAAGGAACTGTGGGTGGCCTCCAGCCAACAGCTGGAAACTGAATCCTACTAATGTGTGCTTGGAAGTGTACCCTTCCCAGCAAAGCCTTCAGATGAGACCACAGCCCCAGTCAACACATTGATTTCAGTCTTGTGAGAAACCTTAAGGCAGAGTACCCAGCTAAACTGTGCCTGGATTTTTGATTTACATTAACTGTGAGAAAATAAATGCTGTTTCAAGTCACTAAGTTTGGGGATAATTTGTTATGCAGTAGTAGATAACTATATACAAGCCAAGTGATATCTCATCCCACTATCATGTCTACCATTATTTCTTAAAGTACTACTGCCTTAAAAACTCAGGGCAGTCCTCCTGGGCTGGGCATTTGGGGTGACAGAGTCAACTCTTTCTTAGAACTCTGTTGTATTTCAAGGACCAGAGGCAGGGAGATGCCTAAATAGACATTCACAGAAGATGTCCACAACTCAAGCCTATATCCAAGGAGAAGACTACAGCTCACCAAATCTCTGGCTTCTAGTGCCCTGTAGTGCCAGTGCTGGGAGCTGAGGCTTTATTGCCTGGGGAGTGGGTGACCAACCCTCTGAAAAGTGGCCTGAGGCCAAGAGACACCAGTAACAGCAAGAAGATGGCTTGCATTGGGGCTGAATTCTCCTCTTTCATTTCTGGAGAATGGTTTATATTTTGGCCTAGGATGGCCACTGGGTTCCCAAATTCTGCTCTGAGCCTCTGAAACCAACCTGAGCTGCCTAGGCTAGAAGCCCTTGGCTGCCCTCCCTGATATCTCTCTGTTGCATTCCAGGCTCCTAACCTTGCTAGAGTGACCTCTGTCCAGAGAGCCCAAGATTCATGCCTCCAGAGCTCCTCAGTCAGAGCCAAGACACAGAACTGCCCAGCAGGGGATGGGGCAAAGGCAAAGCCTCTTCCCATTCTTCCCCAGACTAGCTGTCTCCTTGGGAACATTAAACACCCAGCTGAGGCCTAAACCAGAAGAAAAACAAAGCATCCCTATTGAAAGAGTGCCTCCATCATTTCCATCCAATAGATGAGGTGGCTTCTCAGAGAGGAGCTGGGAAACCAAAGACAAAAGAGACAAAGAGCCTGATGTCCTCATCTTCCCGCAGGCTGCTGGGTGGGTGGGTCACATGGTGGGTTGGGAGCTGCCTCTGCATCTTCAGTGCATCCCCAGCCTCGGGAAAGGCATAAAAGATCCGTCCTCCAGGGCCCTTTTAGTTTGAGGCCCTTTCCCTCTCTTTACTTCTGTGTTGCAGATCAAGGAGTTTACCTGGTGAGCAGAGCCAATGTGCCCTGGTGGCTCTGCAGAATCTGCCATCATATCACCCTTGTGTGATATAGGAGTCCCAGGGTGGGTTTCTGGCCGTCTCGGAAGGCCAACTTTGTAGCAAAGCAGTCCTGAATGACTTCAAAGATGTGCTCTGGGGGCAACTTTGTGCAGTGAGAACAGAGGCACGGGAGTCAGACAAGCCCAGGACTAAATATATCCCAAGCCACCTGCAGTGTGCCCTTAGGTAAATTATTCACACCTTGTCCCCCTCAAGCCTCAGTTTCCCCATCTGTAGATGTGCAATAATTTATTCACACTGCACCAGCGCCCTACCTTGTAGAATTAAACAGGGTTGGGACTAGGGTGAGGTGAGTGAGACCCTTGTCTTGGGCACAAAATTTAAGGGGGTGCCAGAAAGCTCAGTAGCCAACATAAATAATATTTTAATGCAATATTTTTAAAAATCAAAATTAATGCAAAAAAATCCATGATCAACAAAATATCACAATTCTAAACAAAGAGGATCTATTCAGTAATTGGCTGTGAAGATTACACTCAATAAGCTTTTTGAGATGCTTTCCAGGAGGCTGCACATATGGGTTGTAGCTGCTTGAAGAGCCCCATCAGGCCTGCTCAGGCCCAAGTTCAAGTGCACCGTGCCGGCTTGCACTGTGTAGTGCAGTGGTTAGTCATATAGGCTTGGGGGTCCAGTAGACCCAGGTCTGAAAACTGACTTCACTACTTACCATCTCTGTGACCTTGGATGAGTTATTTTGTCACTCTAAGCCTCAGTTTCCTTATGTGTAAATTAGGGATAATAATAACAACACTATCTCCACCAAAAGGTTGTTGTAATGCAGGATGCCTGACCCATAGAAAGGGCTTCGTCATAGTGGCTGTCATTATGGTATCATTTAACAAACATCAGAATCAACATGAAAAATTCCCTTGGCTGGGCAGAGGATAAAACAGGCTGGCATTTTGTGGCCGTCTGCTCGCTGCCTTTGTGAGTCCTCCCGATAAGCTGCATCTGCCTGGCTTTCTTGTTAATCAAATACACAGCTGGCTTGGGAGCTGCTTGCCTGGAGCTGCCTTTGCTACTGTGTCTGCTGCCATCTGGATATCAGAGGGATCACAGAGAAGAGGCTGGGCGTCAAGGCAGGAACAGCTGGGGCAGAGGGTGGGGAGAGTCCCGGGCTGCAATCTGTTTGCTGCACACTTGTTTGAGATGCATGGTGGTTGGCAAGGAACAAAATAGCATCCTGGGGGTACAGCCAGCCACTCTCTGCCTTTCTCCTTGGCATGCAGACAGCATGGGGCTCTGGTCTGGTTTTGACCAGTGATCTGCTCTGATGGCTGATTTGTCCAGTTTGAGGAGAGCTAGGGGTGCAGGTGACCCCAATAGGACAAAGGAGGACACTTTCCAATTTATTTTGGGCAGGCTTTTTCCTTCTGATGCTTCTGACATCAGATGCAAGAAGAAAGGTTTTGAACCAGAGTTATGTGTAGGTGACAGTATTAATTTGTTCACTTAGTAAGCCACAGACCTGTGCTAGGTACCAGAAGAACTAACTGATGGGGTGGAGAGGCAGCACAATAGCAGAGCACAGGGTTCACAAACTTTAACGTGCATCAGAATCATCGAGAGGGCTCATTAAAAACCAGAGTTCTGATTCAGTAGGTCTGGGGAGGGACCCAAGAATTCACATTTCTAACAAGCTCCCAGGTGCTGCTGCTGCTGGTCTGAGTACGACTGACATTGGAAATGTGCTGTGTAGTTAGACCGCCTGGGTTTGAGTTGAGACCAACTCAGCTACTTACTGGCTGTGGGGGGCCTTTGGCAGCTTAATCTCTCTGTGAATCGGTTTCCTTATCTGTAAAATAAGGATGAAAATAACAGCCTCTAGTTCACGGGCTCCATGATTTATGCACACAAAGCACCCAAAGCAGTGCCTGGAATATGGTAAGCCCTCAATATGCATGAGCTATTATAATCTGTAATATGTAAACATTGTACAATGAATTATGACATGTGTGTTTTTATAAATAAACAAGGAAAGTGAGTAGTGAAAGGTCCCTATGGATTCCTACATATACAAAATATTTGCATACAATTTCAAGGGGCTCATAGGCCCCCAGGAATTTCATCCTTCTTGATGCCCCTGGTTTTGTAGATTATAATAGGTATCGTTTTTGAGCCTCCTCTCTGTTGCATGACGTGTGGCAGGTAATTGATATTCTAAATTATTTCATTTAGTTCGCACTCTAACTTTGTAAAACAGTCATTGTCATTCCTATTTCACAGGCAGAACAACCGAGGCTTAGAGAACTTGCCAAGCGAGGGTTAGAGTTAGGATTTGCACCCAAATCTGTCAGACTCTATGTCACATGGCCACTAGTCACTTCCTTAGAATGACCATGTCACCAGTTTATCCAGAAGAGCACATTTAGCAGTGACCAAGTGATCAGCCCTATAGGGGAGAAATTAAAGGTTGTTCTTGACCTCAAAGAGCTTCTATCTAGTTGAGAAATCAAGATAAACAGAAATCTGCAACATAGTATATTATTGCCAGCAAATAATAGGTGTGGCAGAGCATTGATGTGATTCACCAGATATGCATTTGCTTTTCATATTTTCCAGCTTCCCTTGCAGTGGTATTAGGCTCATGTGACTGGGCTTTGGCCAAGGAATATTGGGCATCATATAAGTTACTTTCAGTCTTGGCCCTTATAAACATGTCGAATGGTCTCTACTTTCTTTCCCTTGCCTTGTTGCAGTGATTTAGGAAGCCATGTATTCCAGATGGCACAGTTCAAGATGGAGGAGAATTGCCCACCTGCTGTCAGATTGAGACAGGAAGGAGAAATGAACCTCTATGTGTTAAACCACTGAGATTTCTGGTCACTGCAGCATAGTCTAAGCCTCCTGACTAGTCAAATGGGATAGCCATAATTGCATACTGAGGCGTTCTGAGAAGATTAGGGAGTCCTGAAATATTCAGGCCTTGAGTTGGCTACAGGCCCCATTCTAGACAAGGTGAGTCAAAATCTTTAGAGAAGGGTCACAGTACTCTTTAATTTTTAAGGTGATACTGAGGAGAGGCTGGTACTGTGGTCTGCTATGTCTCCCAGAGAATCTCTCAAGAGAGGGGCACCATCCCATGAACATCTACAGAGCAGGCTCTGGGGTGGGACTCCTTGGGCTAGAAGCCTGCCACCACCCATTCTAGCTTTATGCTGGATAATTTAAGGATCTACTTTGTAAAGTTGTTGTGATGACTAAATGAGAGTTGATGTATTCGTTATCTATTGCAGCATAACAAATTACCCCAAAACTCAGTGTTGTCAACAAAAAGAGTCAAACACTGTAAAATATTTGAGGAGGCTTATTCTGAGACAAATATGGGTGACCATGGCCCATGACACAGCCCTCAGGAGGTCCTGAGAACATGTGCCCAAGGAGGTCGGGGTGCAGCTTAGTTTTATATATTTTAGACAGTCATGAGACTTCAATCAAATACATTTAAGAAATACACTAGTTTGGTCCAGAAAGGTGGGACAACTTGAACCAGGGGCCTCCAGCTTATAGGTAGATGTAAAAATTTTCTGATTGACAATTGGTTGAGTTTATCTAAAGACGTGGGATCAATAGAAAGGAATGTCTGGGTTAATATAAAATATTGTGGAGACCAAATTCTTATTTGCAGAGGAAGCCTTCAGATGGTAGGCTTCAGAGAGAATAGGTTGTAAAATGTTTCTTATCAGACTAAAGTCTGTGTTGATGTTAATGCTAGAGAGGTATAATGAGACATATCCAACCTCTACTTCTCATCAAGGCCTGAACTAGTCTTTCAGGTTAAATTTTAAGAATGCCCTGGCTGAGGAGGAAGTCCATTCAGATGACTGGGGGCCTTAGAATTTTATTTTTGGTATGCAGTGCCATAAAACAGCCACCATTTACTATCTCATAGTTTCTATGGACCAGGAATTCAGGGGTGATTCCCTGGGCAGTTCTGGCCTCTTGTGAGGGTGCTGTCACATATTGGCTGGTGCTGCATCATCTGAAGGCTCAAGCGGGGCTGGAGCATCCACTTCCAAGTTGTCTCACTCACGTGGCTGTTGGCCAGAGGCCTCATTTCTTTTCCACACAGGCTGCACCATGGGACCGCCTAAGTGTCCTCCCTGCATGGGGGCAGGCTTCCCTCAGAGTGAGTGATCCAAGAGACCAAGGGGGAAGTCACGATGCACTGGCGTCACACAGGTCACCCCTGACTCAGTTTGGGCTGGGACTAAGCACGGATAAGGATACCAGGAGGCGAGGATCCCTGGAGGCCATCTGTGAGATTGGACAGCATAAGCTTTCCAAATATCAACTTATCTGATATATAATCTTACCCTTATCAACAGCATAACCATTTCATTTGATACCTGAAATGCTTCAAACCATGTCTGACATGGAATTACAACTCAGTAAACATTAGCTATTTTTTATTACTAATAGAATGATCAATAATCTCTATGAATTCCAGCTTTTCCACCATTTTATCCTCCTTCCCTCATTCCTCAACCACCCTCCTAGGTGGAGTCCAGCTGTATAAACACCTGTGCACCTGTTATGCCAGGCTGTGCACTGGGTGCTTGGTTCCCAGAAGGTAGGGGTCCACCTGGGCACCTCTGTGCCCCAGGGCAGAAAAACTCGAATAGAGACACAGAGGATGCTAGAAGCCAGGGAAGAAGAGGTTGAAAAACAATGAATGCTTACATGGGGGTGTCACAGTTAACAGGCTTGTTCGCCTCCATTATCCTACTAGAGAAAAAGTGGTAGAGTGGCTAAGAGCACACACTCTGCAATAAGATTGCCTGGGAGCAAATTCCAGTTCTCCTTACTAATTATGCGAACTTGGGCAAGTTACATAACTTCCCCGGTGCCCAGTTTTCTGTGAAAAAAAGGGAATAATAGTTCTCATTTTACAGGGTTGTTGTGTGAATGAAACATTCTAAGCATTTAAAAGGCTCAGAACAGTGTCTGGCTCACATTGCTATTATTTTCTTTCTCATATCACCTGGGGCAGGGGGTGGGGGCAGTGGTTAAAGAGGAGATAAAGAGACAAGGGAATAAACAGATGCAGACACCTTAAAAATTGCAAGGCAAAGCTGGTGTTAAGACATAGCTCTCTAGGACTTTCCCCTAGAGTCTCCCTGGCTCAGTGGGTGCTGTTCATGCAGGGGAAAGCTTGACCAAGAGTGAGTCCATCACGCTGTGAGTCACTGGGTCAGGGTTGCGCGCCCTCACAGACACCTGGCACGCTTCTTGGCTGACTTCTTCTGTGACCAGGGCCTCTGATAGCCCTGTTCCCCTCCCTGCATGTTGTTTGTATCTTCTTTTCCTAGTTTTCTTTGATTCAGATAAGCTCAGGGGCTCCTGAGCCGATCTTGTCTTCCTTTGATGGATGGGTGGCAAGGGAGTAGGGCTGGGGCCAGGGGCCCGTCTGTGGAGGGTGGAGGCAGATGGCGTGGGGCAAGGCAGCAGGCAGGTAGGAGAAATGAAAGGGCTTCACATCAAAGAAAGAGAAGCCAATCAACTGGAGTATTCTCTGTCCTCTGAGATTGGATCTGAGCTCTAATTTGTGAATCTTAGTTAAGTTTTGAAAACCAAAAGCAAGGGGCTGCTGGACCTCCTGCCTAACAAAAGTGTTTGTTGAAAAGATTCAGAACCGTGACAAAGATATAGCTCCCGCAGAGCTCTAAAGAGAAGGGAATTCAAGCTCCAGAAGGTGGGGACCCCACAGTGAAAATGACAAACAGGGTTCACACTCTCCTAGAGCTTGTCTTCCAGTGGGAGTACACAGACAATGCCAAACAAGATCATTTCAGCAAGTGTGATATGTAAAAAAGATGCTCTGTGACTTTGGGTTGAGTGGTCAAGGAAGCCTCCCTGAGAAGGTCACACTGGGGCTGAACCCTGCGCAGCCACATGTGGATCTGGGGGAAGTGTATTCTAGGGTGACCAAAGAGTTGGTGCCAAGGTCTTGTGCAGAAGGGAGTTCAATGTGATTGAGGAACAGAGGGAGGTCAGCATGCCTGGGGAAAGTGCAGGGAGGAGAGGGGGCCCACTGAGCCGGGGAGGCTGGGACAAGGAGCGCAGGTGTTATGGTGAGCCTCGTGGCAGGTTTTAAGTGTAAGAGTGATGACATCTGATGGGTTTAAAGTGACCACTCAGCCATCTGGCACAGAATGGATTTCAGGGGACAACAGAAGGGGTGAAGCCTGTTAGGAGGATGTCAGGAGTCCAGGTGAGGGCTACACCTAAACTAGTGTGGACAGTGGGACTGAAGGGCATGGCAAATGGCCCCACGTTGTGAACAGAGAAGAGAACCGCTCTTTACAACTCGTGAGGGAGCGATCACAAAGGAGCCTCACTTGACGGTGCCACAGGGTGGGGCTCTGAGGAAAGGAGGCAGATCACAGCCAGGTCTGCACTGTCTAGGATAAAAAGGGTTTGGGAGGAGTACCTGATTCCAGCCCCATTCCTAGCATGAGCGAGTCTCTTTTATCCCAGGGCTCAGCAGATGGGAGGGCAGGCGACTTACCCCGGGACTGGGCAGCTGATGGCGGGCCTTCTTTCTGGACTAGTGCTCCCCCTGCAGGAATCGCTGAATGCATAGCTTAGAAAAGTGAGAAGCTTCAGGATGAGGCCAGGACACGTGTGTAGTGAGGCCCAGAGTTCTGTGTTGTGGTAGCCTCTGAGCCCTGGCAGCTCCAGCCCTGGGGAGGACTATCCGTGCAGCTTCCACTGTTTGTCTGGATGGAGTACAGAGCTTCCGCAGGTGCTCCATCTTCGTCGGCAGCAAGGTTCAGAGGGAAAAGGTCCAGGACAAAGCTTAAGGAAGGACAGGTCAGCAGGGACCCACTTCTTCCTACTCTCCCACAGCTGGCCAGGCTCCCAGCAGCCCCACCTCCAGCATGCAGGAGCAGCTGGGGACTGCTGGGCTGGAGACGGCATGAAGGTGCTGTAGAGGCACCCCTGGGAACCACTGTGCTGGTGGAGAGGGACAGAAGAGAGGAGAAAGAGCTTCAGAACAAATGCAGACCACTCAAGACTTGGTTCTCCCTGGGGCAACCTCCCAGACCTAAGTCCATTCACTCACTCACTCACCAATATTTGAGACACCAGTGATATAGCCAAGAGGCAAAATGAGGAAAGAAGCAGGGAAGGAAGAAAAGAAGGGAGGGAGGAAAAAGAGAAAGGGATGGAGGAAAAGGGCACAGGCCCCGCCCTTATAAACCTCATAGCCTAGTAGAAAAAAAAACAGGAATCAAAGAATTACAGGCCCATGAGTTGGAGGTTCCAGCCAGACTGAATGAGCGTGAATTCCTGCAGTCAGTTCTGAGCCCTTCACTGTCTCCTCTGAGCCTTTGCATGCGCTGTCCCTCTGCCTGGCCATCTTCCCTGTGTCCCTCCCTCCTTTATCAGGGGAGGGAGCAGAACTGAGGCTGGGCCAGTAGGACATGTTCACTGGGGCAGCTAAAGGCTCAATTGAGGTCTGAGGAGGGGAGACTAGCAGGGCAAATAGTCCTGCCGCTGCTATCCGTAGACGCTTCTCATTCAGAGGGACCATGGCCTGGGGGGCTTTCTTGTGATGACCCTCAGCAGTGACATGAGTGGGATGGGGTTTCCAGTCCCCATGGCATGTGCTTCCCCTCAACCTTTCACCAACGACCTACCACGTGCCAAAGACTAAGCACTGGGGATAGAAGGTGAACGAGACTGGTGTGGCCCCCCGCCCTGCTCTCAGACCTGCCAATCTCCAGGGTTTGTTTTCTTGAGACTCCTGACGCTGCCTGGCCCGAGTCAGCACTAGGGATTCCTGATCTCTGCATATCCCTTCCCAGCCATCCAAGATAGCAAGAGCTGTTACCCTCTGGCTAACTCTTACTTATGCTTCCAGTCTCAGTCAGATGTCATGTCCCCAGCTCAGCCTCCCCGGGGGTCCCTTGACATGGTCCACAACCCCTGTACCTCCCCATCATTGCCCTGGGCCAGAACAGGCTCTGACTGTGTCTCAATAGAGACAAAAAAACTCTGAGATCACAATACCACTTTGGCTTCCTAATTTTCTGTCCAATCTTTGGGGGGCCAGTGCCAACCAGGCCTTGAAGACTGATATTCCTCTATGGGATGAGAGATGCTTGCCTCCCTCTCTGGACTCTTATGGGACCAGCAAAGGGGATCCAGCCTTTCTTGTCGTCAGAAGGCATGAGCTGTAAATGTGATTCCCCAACCTGGCTGCATGTGCAACGCTTGGGGAATTCCTAAAAATACAGATGCCTGGGACTCTGACTCCAAAGACACTGCCTCAGGAGATCTGTGCTGAGATCTGGGCATATACATTTCTTGGAACTTTCTCCAGCTTCCTGTACAAATCTACCTATTGCAGCAGCATTTGTAATAGCAGAAGGTTGGTAACAGCCTAACTGTCCACCAATAGGAAACTGGCTAAATAAATCATAGTCCATCCAGACAATGGTATACTGTGTGCCCTAGAAAGGAATGAAGAAGCTCTTAAGTACTGATAGAAGGAGACCTTCAGGATAGGTTACTGGGTTAAAGAAAAAAAAAAGCAAGGTGTATAACATATACTATTTTTTCATCAAACTTTAATCAAACTTTTTCTGTAAAGAGCCTGACGGTAAATATTTTAGGATTTACAAGCCACGTATAACCTCAGCCTGGAGGCGCTGATGTGGCTTCAACAGAATAAACCTGTAAATGGAGTGGATCACAGAAAACTGAGGTGTTAGTCCTGAGTGGCCACTGGAGAAGACAGGCACCTGTGTTAGGACCCTCGGATGGAGGCTTCTGAAGAACCTACAGAGGCACCTGATGTTAAAGCACTAGCTTTTACCATTCTCAACCGCTAGAGCCAGAGAATAACCCTACAAAGCCAGCCAGCTATCCCTCCCCACTGTCCTCCCCACACCAACCTTGCCCTGCCACCTGGAATAACATGCATCCCCCCTGCCATGAGATAGCCTTTTGATGTTACCACCTCCTGAGCCTCCTTCTTTCTTTCCCTCCTCTATTTCCAGCTGCTCCTAATGTCACAAGGCTCCCAGACATCTACCCAGCCTCCTTTGTCTCTGACCGGTCTCGGTCCATCTGGGGCAGCCATCCTTCTCCTTGTTCCTGGAGCTCCCAGCTTTAGATCACTGGCACTCCTGGGGGGCCATCTCGTCGATTTTGACACTTTTATCTTCTGAGGATGATCCTTTTCCACACTGTAACTTCCCAGCCCTGAATTTGTCCAGAAACTGAAAACCACTGGACGTGGGGCCAGACCTAGCTGTGACCTCCAGCAAATTATTTCTCATCTCCAAGGCTCTGTTTCCTGATCTGAGGAAGTGGAGATAATAAAACCACCGCTGAGGGATATGAGGATTCAAAGACCTAGTGTGCATGCCCGCCAGATGCTTTGTGTGACAACTTCTGGTGCCCAGTGTGAACGTGGAGATACTTTGCCCTCTCAGCGGACTCATCTCAGTGGATTAATCAGAAGTGCACACAGCTTTTGGGGTTTGCTGTGGAGAAGCTTGTGCTGCTTGGAAGGACTGTGGTTCATGAAAAAGCCCCTAGATACCCTCAGCTCCTCCTACCCCATCCCTGCTGCAGAGGCTCAATTTATATCTGTGGTCAGGGCTGAGCCCGGAGGTCTATACCCAGAGCCGCACACCTAGGAATCGAGGGAACACTCTCTGAGGAAGCTGACTTAGAGACTCGGAGGTGCCTTCTTCAATCCTGGCAGCTGCCTGGTGCTGCTGGGCTTGGGAGGATTAGAGCAAGAAACCAGGGGCTGAGCACAGTGGCTCACGCCTATAATCCCAGCACTTTAGGAGGCTGAGGCAGGAGGGTTGCTTGAGCCCAGGAGTTTGCAACCAGCCTGGGCAACAAAGCAAGACTGCATCTGTACTTTTTTTTTTTTTTAATCAGGTGGGCTGTTGTGGTGTGTGATACTTGGCAGGCTGAGGTGGGAGGACTGCTTGAGCCCAGGTGGTTGAGTCTGCAGTGAACCCAGATTACACCATACTCCAGCCTGGGCAACAGAGCGAGACCCTGCCTCAAAAAAAAAAAAAAAAAAAAAAAAAGAAAAGAAAAGAAAAGAAAGAAAGAAAAAAAAAAGAAAAAGAAAAGAAAAGAAACCCTATCTAGACACAGAGCCATTGCAAAGAGCCAGCAAATATGTTTGATCTGTCAGATATGTTTAGCAGTGGAGGGAGCAAAACTGAGGCTGGGCCAGTAGGACATGTACACTGGGGGCGGCTGAAGGCTCAGTTGAGGTCTGAGGAGGGCAGACGAGTGGGGCAAATAGCCCTGCCCCTGCCATCCATAGATGCTTCTCATTGAGAGGGACCATGGCCTGGGGGGCTTTCTTGTGATCTCGATGACACTCAGCAGTGACATGAGTGGGACGGGGTTTCCGGTCCCCGTGGCATGTGCTTCCCCCCAACCTTTCACCAAGGACCTACCATGTGCCAAAGACTAAGCACTGGGGATAGAAGGTGAACGAGACCGGTGTGGCCCCCCGCCCTGCTCTTGGACCTGCCAATCTCCAGGGTTTGTTTTCTTGAGACTCCTGACGCTGCCTGGCCCGAGTCAGCACTAGGGATTCCTGATCTCTGCATATCCCTTCCCAGCCATCCAAGACAGCAAGAGCTGTTGCTTCTCTTCTCAAATTTCTCCCTTGGCTTCTTGATTGAGAGTTTCATCCCAGCTATGGTTTAAAAAACAAACAGCAAACAAACAAACAAACTAACCACACACTCAAACAAACCTCAGACTGCACAATGGAAGCACTGCCTGGAATCATAAAGATCATTTGTTCAATGTCCCTTTTTCTCACTGCCAGGCCAGTGCTCTCGTCTGCACCATGGAACCCATTATGACTTGAACCTTTCCAGATTGATTCCCCATAAACCTAATGAAGACATTGGAAAGGTGAGCTGAGGTAAGGTCGTGAAGAAACTCTAATGGAGCCCTATGGAGTTTGGAGTTTTGACAGCATACTGGGGACAATGGGAAGCCATTGACAGAGAAAAGCAGGACAGTGCCATGATGCATCTTCCATTCATTTATTACATTCAGTTAGCAAATATTTATTGAGCAGGTACTCCGTGCCAGGCTATGGGGATATAACATCGAACAAGATAGACAAGTTGCTCATCTTCATGTCTCCAGTGGGGAGACAGACAACGACCATGGTAAATAAATGAGAATGCACATCAGTTCACTGAATTAATAAGACTTTCCATGGCGTGGAGTGGTGGGGGGCAAGAAATGAACAGGATGCTGTGATTCAGAATAAAAGAAGGAATCCTCTTTAGAGAGCATAGCTTGAGAAACTTTCTCTAAGATAGTGATCTTTTAGATAAGTATTAAAAAAATGGGAAGAACCCAGTCTTTTCAAGAGCAGGGGAAAGAGTGTTACAGTTTGGAGCAGGGCGAGGGGTGGGTGGGGGATGCAGTGAGTGCACAGGCATTGCGGCTGGAAAGACTTTGGAGGACTCTTGGAACTGAAGGAAGGTTGGTGTGAATGGAGTGCTGAGGAAAGTGTTATGAGCTCAGGAGGCAGAGGGTGTCAGATGTCATCATGCTTAGAGGCTACCATAGGTGAGAAATGACAGAGTCATTAACCAAGGTGGTGCAGAGATGGAGAGAAATGGACCAATGTGAGTATATTTTGGAGAGAGAACCAGCAAGTCTTGCTAATGGATTAAATGGGAGGAAGGTGGGTATAGCAGCAGGCAGAGAAGGAGGCAGTGATGTTTCCCACGTCTCTGGTTGGAGCTGTTGTTTACTAAGATGGAGAAGCCCGGGAAGGTGGGACCAGGTTTAGCGAGTAAAACCAGATCAAGTTTACTTTCTGGAAAGCACTGGGAAGGCTGGACTTGGGGAGGACAAGGCCAGTGCAGGGTGCCCTTTGGAGGCTAATCCAGTATTCCAGGTGAGAGATCATGATGAGGATGGGCTAAGGTTGTGAAGGGGGATGAAGGGATACCCATGTCTCTGCTAAACAAGCAAAGAGAAGAGTTTCCCACTGCTTCAGACGCTATGAATTTCATTTTGTGAGATGGCTCAACAGACCAACCAGAGGGAGGAGTTCTTTTTGGGTAAGGTTGAAATGAAACCAACATGTGGAGAGGAGTGGAGGCGAATGATGTGGAAAATGGGGTCACGAGAGAGACCAGGCAGAGACTGCAGCAATGCAGTGTCTTCCACAGCTGGCTGTTTGACATGGGAGAGAGGAGTCTGGATTCACCATCTGTGCCAGGGAGAAATCCATCCTGGGAAACAGATGGTCAGCAGTCATGCCCATGCACCCTGGATGACCACGGGGGTTCCCTGGGGCTCTGCAGCCCGGGTGATTTTCTTGGGAGGTTTGGGACAAGCATTCAGAGGCTGTGGGCATAGCAGGCTCTAGGATTTCTGCTCTTGATGTCACTGTTACCCAGACCCCTAGAGCTGGGTCCCAGATGGTGCAGCTGAGACGAGCTCTCTTCTCCTTAGCCTCACTGTCCTCCAGCAGTGCCCCTTCCAGCCTCTGAGGTTAGCAAAAGGCAGTGGCTGGTGGCACTGACTGAGTGACCACTCAGTCAACCCTAGTCCCAGTCAGGATAGCCATTTTTTTCATTCATTTGTTCATTCATTCCTACATGCATTCAACAAATCCTGACTGAGTATCTGTAACTACAGGCACTGTCCCAGGCCCTGCCCTTGAGAAAACGCAGATCGAGAATTGGACAATGCGGGCTACCAAGCCCTCTCATTCCCTTCTTCCTCATCCTGTCACTGCTTCTGGCCTTGAGGCCCAGAGCTGACCCGAATCATCACCCAGGACCCATTCCAGCCCCTGGCCCTGGCACTGCTGATTCTGATTTAAGTCCATTTCTTAATTTTATTTCATGAGACTAAAATGTCGTCAGAAATCAGGTTGTAAAGGACACTGAATAATATTTTTCTGAGTTTGGGCTTTATTCTGAGTATTTTAGGCAGGAGAGTGACATCAGATTTCCATTTGCAAGACACCTGCAGCAATGAGGAGGAAGGATGGGAGGCGGGGTGAGAGGGATGGCACGATGGGAGGCAGGGAACCAGTTTGGAGGCCTTTGGACTCGTCCAGATGAGAGGTGACAAGGACTCCTTGCCATGTCCCCCCATCCCCAACCCCATCACATCAAACCTACTCTCAGAAAAGAACTGATGAGTCCTCTGATGTGTGGAAGGGCTCACCCCAGTGGAGGCACCTGTGTACATATTTGAAGTTAAACCAACACTGGGCATCTTTTATTTCTCAGACACCTTCATGTACAATGAATCCCCTCCAAGCTGCATTGCCAGGAAAAAGTACTTTCCATCTCTCCCTTTTAGAGATGAGAAACTGAGACTTAGCTCTAAGCAGACCTAAATTTGAATCCTGGCTCCACCACCTGTCCAGGTGTAGAAAGTTCCACTGTGGACTGACTGTGGGACTTGCATGGTTGCCATGAGCAAAACCTGATCTGGAAGAGTTGTATCTAATGGGCCCTAATGGTGGCATTTCAGAAGCACCGAGGAGACCCTGGGGGCTTCTGCAGCTGGGTCTGGGGAGCAGGGTTGAATGGGTGCCCTGGGTGGGCCTGCGCTGCCTGCTCTGTCTTCTGCCTTCTCTGCCTATGTTGCCCAGGGCCTGAGCAGGAGAGTTCTGTTAGGTGAAGGGTCTGGGCCTGAGGTTTTCTTTTGCAGGAAGCGTCTCCCCTTGCGGGGTTCTAGGAGAGGCCTGCCCACTACCCCACCTTCCCTCAGCTTCCCTGGTCTTTGTTCCGATTTTAGGCCAGGGTGGGAAGATAAGGAGGACGACTGCGCCATCTGCTGGGCATCTTGGGCAAGCTCCAGCTGCGCCCAGGTGAGGTTTGGCTTTTGCGCATGAGAACCTTGGGTCACCAAACAGGGTATGGCCCCTTGACCAATAATGTCTTTTATAGAAGTAGCCCCAGGGATACACTTCCAGTTCAGCTGGTGCCAGGAAACTCTCGGTACCCACAGAAGCTGCCCATTATCTGTGCGCTCAGGTGTGGGGAACAGAAAGGTGAACAGTGTGTGGGGGAAGGCACAGACACAGACCATTAAAATGCAGTGTGCTGAGGAATGATGGAGAAAACGCAGGTGGGGAAGACAGGCCAGTTAATTTGACTTCCTGGGCCCCTGTTAGGTGCTGCTCCTGAATCCAGAAGGATGAATAGGAATTAGGCCAGGATTAAGGGAAGGCATTCCAGAGAGAGGGCATGGCGGGGCAAAGCCCTGGTGACCATGCTGCCACCTCTGCTCAGGCCCAGGGCTAGTGCCTCTTTCCTGCCCTCCTCCAGCAGTTGGAGACTTTGCTGACCCCTTGGAAGTGCTGGTCCCTGAACTCTACAGTGGCAGGAGCTCAGAAGATCCACGTCTGCCCCTCCACTTACCACCTCAGCAGCAGCTCCTTCCTACCCTCATCCAGAGTTCCCAATCCCTACCTCTTCCTACCCAAGCCAAATAGTGTGGCTGGGAGACTGCTATGAACAAATCTCCCACGCTCACAGACTCAAAACCAATAAAGGCCAGAAATCAATGCTGGAGAATGAAAGCAAGCTGGAGAATGATGAAATCACCTAGTTGGTGAATTAGGGCCCAGCTGAGGTCGATTTAGGACGAGCAATTCAAGTGAGCGTGAATTCTGTCAGTCTGCCATTCTATTGCATTCAATCTAATTCAGGCATGGTTTACTACACAGGTCAAATCCTGTGAGTTTGTGGAAGAAGTGGGATGCAAAGGGACATTTATGGGGCAATCTACTGTGCGCCAGTCACAGTGGAAGATATCATGGATACCGAGTGAATGAGACATGGTCTCTGTCCTCAAGAAGCACCCACATCACCACCTGCTCCTCCCCACCACTGCATAGTTCCTTTCTGTTCTTTTCTCTTCCTGCAGAAAAGCTGCTTCCAGGAAAGCAACTGATAAATTAAGCCACACTGAGCTGTAGTCAGCTGAGTGGGTGTTTATGACCGTACCTGTGAATTGTCTCTCACTATCTGCTCTATTTCAGTAAAATACAGAAACCCACTAGCTCATTCTCCTGCCCTCCCCCACCCCAATGTGTTAGCTACACACAAGACCACCCAGCAGAGACTGTATTTCCCAACCTATCTTGCAGCTAAGTATAGATCATGTGATTGAGGCCAGTGGGATATGAGTGAAAATAACGTGGCAACTTCTGGGGTATACCCTCCTCCTCCTCATCCTCTTCCCCTTCCCTCTTTCCCATGGCTGGGATATAGACTTGGAGGGTGATGGGGCACAGGCTTTGCTCACAGCAATGAGGGCAATACTTGGTGGCTGGTGAAACAAGATGGAAGGATTCTGAGTCTATAAACCAGAGCAGAACGATCCTACCCACTCAAAGCCCCTACCAGCTCAGACTTTTACATAGAGAGAAACTTCTAAATTCTTTAATCCATGGAAACTGGGTTTTTGTTAAAGCAGCCAAATCAATATCCTAATACAGTGACTCTTGCTCCCTGATGTTTAATAAGCAAATAAGCAAAAATATCTTGAGTAAGAGCTTTATCAGAGTTCCTGAAATTCTAAGCAGAGGCCATCCCCTGAGCTGGGGATCCAGCATGTGTATAACAATGACCCCATGCCCTCTGATATCCCAGAGCATCTCTCAAATCCTTTATCATTCAGTTTGTTGGGACAGTATTGTATTTTACTGTGTGGTATGTGTGTTAGGTCATATGGCTAGTTCAACATTGATAACAATAGCCAAGAAAGTTCCATTCTTCAGCCTGTGGGTCTATGCAGTTTACTGTAAATTTATGAGATGCATTACTTAAGTAGTTATCATCTCTACTTACAGATGAGACCTAAAAGCCCATTAGAGACTTTCCCAAGGACCTGAGGCTAATAGAAACTCAGCCTCTCAGACTAACCTTCAAGAGCTCTTGACACTTCCCCAAATAAAGAACCATTCCCTCTCCTTAGAGTTTAGGGTCCTCTGACACCAACCAGGGAATACTACTAGAAAATCTTTTTTATTTTTTCTTTCTTAAAGTACTTGTAAAAAGGACGATTAAATCACAGAAATGTGAGCACCAAAGAAAGAAGGAAGTTGTGCAAAGGTCAACATTATGCTGGTAAGAGAATGTTTAGGAACGATCAGTATTTGGAAGCCAACAGGCACAGGTTCACAATTGTTCTTGTAAATGTTCAACCACTGGAAAACTTTCAAAATGCCAGGTAGCCAATGGCTTCCAGATTAAAATATTAAAACAAATAATAATTTTTTTAAAAATTGTCACTTCTGATAACATCTCAGCTTACTGAACAAAGTAACGGAGAGCCTCTCGCACCACGCTGGACTCGTTTCCTGGAAATTTGTAAATACCAGACCACAGAGCTTGACTAATGACTATTGGACATGGTGCCCACTGTGTGTGTTCAGAGAATTGGCTTGTGTGGGAAGAACCCAAATGTCTGGTCCTCGTGCCAATTTGTCTTTGGACCTAAAAATCACCAGAAAAGGGAGGCAAAGGAAAATGACCATGATCCAGATGGAGATGGTAAGGCAGGACTGATGACGGAGTGAGCCAAAAGTTGCCAAATTAAGGGGAAATTTAGGCGATCTGCAAAGAATCATGAGTTTTCTCTTCCCCAGATTGAGGCAGGAATGGAGAAAACACTGGCTTTTGAGTTGAAAGCCCCAGACACAAGTTCCAGCTCAGCCCCAGACTACTCTGAGCTGACTTGTCCTCAGTAAAATGCACAAATACTTGTGAATGGATGCTCCAATAACCTCAGAAGGTTTGTGTGAAGAGGTAAGATGATATCTAAGAAAATGTTTCAAGTTCTCTCATGTGCCACACAGGTGAGGAGATTTATCATTATATCATGAGAAAAAAAGCTGAAATGGGGTGTTGGGGCATGTATTATTACAATTCTTTTTTATTTTTATTTTGAGACAGAGTCTCACTCTGTCACCTAGGCTGGAGAGCAGTGGTGCGATCTCAGCTCACTGCCACCTCAGTCAAGCTCAAGAAGTCCTCCCACCTCAGCCTCCTGAATAGCTGGGACTACAGGCATACACCAGCATGCCCAGCTGATATTTGTATTTTATGTAGCGACAGAGTTTCACCATCTTGCCCAGGCCAGTCTCAAACGCTTGGCCTCAAGTGATCTGCCCGCCTTGGCCTCCCAAAGTGCTAGGATTGCAGGCGCAAGCCACTGCACCTGGCCACAATTCTTTTGAACAATTCTTCTTCCTTTTGCTTAAGCAAAAGAGGAATCTTTTGGTTCCAATGACAGGTGTCAGTAGTCATCAGAACTAATCACAAATATCCCACTTCTCTTCCATCCTGGCACATGGTAGGATTCAGCTTCTCTGCCCTTTCATGGTTAGGTGTGCCCATATGATTTGACTGTTACTTCTGGGCAGGAGCTTTAAGATCACAGGTGCAATTTGCCATAGTCCCTTTCCCTGCCTTGGTGATTGTGGAGGCATGTGTTGAGATGAAGCTTCCATCATCCTGGGCCCTTAGTGATTACAGTGAGCAGACTACCCGCCCTCCTCCTCCAACCTGCAGTGAATGTGCAGCATTGGCAAAGAAACTTTAGTTGTGTAAAAAGCCACTACAACCTTGGGATTGTTTGTTACTGCAGCATAACCTTGTATTGAGTATATGTTCTTATTTTCTGTATTCTTCATGCGCTAACATTTGGGTCCTTGATCCAAAGAGGTCACCCCATTCAGGGCTAGCAAATTCCTAGAGAGAGAGAGAGAGAGAGAGAGAGACACACGGGTCGGGGGCGGGGTGGCAAACAATTCTCCTGGGAGCGTGCCTTTGATGTACAAACCAGCTAATCTGGAGCCCACACTCCCAACCATCTTCTTCTTTTTAAAACCAAACTCTCACACACCAAGCCAATATTCTCTCTGCCCTAAGTCACCCTAGGGTCAGACAACTCGGGACCATCCCTATGGCCCTGAACCCATCCAAATTATTCAAACTATCCAACCCTAAACTTAGCCAGCATATGTACCTTGTCTTAACCATTCCTTCCTATGAAAACCCCAATAAAGGCTTGGGGCCATGCTCTCCCCTCTCCCTGCCTCCTGACCAACACTTATCCTTCCGAACCATGTGGCCCCGTGTGCCACACCTCCTGCTTCTAGAGCTCTATGAGCACAAACTTCTTCCTTCATGATAATCATTTCCACGTCTGTGTGCCTTATGTCTTACCATTCCTGATTAAAACAAATCCTGAGAACAACTGGCATAGGTAGCAGGGTGGTTTGATGCCAGATGGACATGGAATGTCCTTAGACTGATCTTGACTTGCTACCTGCTCCCGACAGACAGCAGCCACTGCTTGGCAAGGTACAGCTGAGAGTGGAGTGCTCGGGCTTCCTGCTTGATGGCTACTGCATTGTGTTGTGTTGTCAGGTGTTGCCGTTAATTCCCAACTTGAAATTGCGACGCTCGTTCGAGCAGCTGAGTCCCGGAGCTGCCTCATAGGCTGGTGTCATGTGTCTGGGACTAACCTATTTCTCCACGGTGGTGGAATGCCCAGGATTCAGGACAGAGTGCCTGGGGTTACATAAGTAATTGGCTATATTTTTTTCTCAAAAGGTCCCTCTGAAGGGGACCAGGAGTGACTGACTATCCTCCTCATGCCAAGGGCAAGTCTGATCCACTGACTGAGGAGCACTGACAACACTGGGGTCATCAGAGTCATTTAGATGAAAGTGCCTAGTGTCTAGGATGTGATAGCTCCTGAGGACACTCATAAACCACTTTCCCTTTTCCCTCTGGGCTTTGCTGAGTCAAATTTCAGCCTCTTCCTTGGAGTACTGCGAGAGCACTTGTCGGAACGCTTGCTCCTTGCTCGTGCATGTGTTGAGGGCCATTCATGGGATCAGTGTGAAGGGCTCCTCCAGGGATCACGGCATCCCACAGATGTTCAGATCACACACTTCTCTGCTGTTGTCTGATTGCTGCTGTCATGATTTATTTCCCAACCCAGGGGTAAATAAGAAGTCCCCTCCCTAGAGACGAGGGACTCAATGTTTAATGATCAACGGGAAGGAAAAAGAGCACCTGTTTCCAACTTCCCCAAAAGCCCCAGAGAGATGGTCCTTCCCCATGTGGCCCTACGTGGCATGCCATGCCTCCTGTTTCTAGGGTTCTGTGAGCACAGACTTCTTCCTCATGACAATCACCTCTGTGCCTGTGAGTCTTGCCATTCCTGATTAAAACAAATCCCGGGTACACCTTAACACAAGCCTGGTCCGTCCTGATGAATACATAAGGAGGAAGAGTGGGAATGGCATCAGGTACCAAGATTTTCTCATCTTCTTCCCAACCTCTGGGGTCTAGATGGCCTCTCCGACTGCAGATGAGCTTTCGGTGTGGCAGGAAGATGGACCTCATCATCACTGGCCTGGCTGTCAGAGCCTAGAGGCAGGAGGTGGTCTCAGAAATTACAGCAGAGAAAGCCCCAGGGACAGACTCAGATTGGCTGATTGGAATCATGAACATTCATGAGACAATCGCTGTGGCACATGCATTTGATCAGGATTGAGGCAGATGCTGACCCCTGTTGGTGGGTGGCTGGGTGGGATGTGTTGGGCAGCCAGCACAGGCACCAGTGAGATGGATCATTGTCCTTCTGTGGATGGAGTTTGGACATCCAAACCTTGCCACACCCTGAGGAAGGACAGTTTGTATACAGCTGCTTCATCACACAAA